>NC_000009.12:67089823-67255969 GCF_000001405.40 Homo sapiens | reverse complement strand
AAAATGGCTATATTATTTAAGATTATTCCCTGAAAAAATACACTTAATGGTAAAGAAAGCTTATTTCTAAAATTCAGACTAAAACCCTGTTGCTTTACCTAGTTAAGATTCTGTTATTCATTTTAATGCAAAGAACAGAATATGGATTATCTAAAGGCATCACCATTCAGCTTTAGAGTGGATTGATGGTAGACAAGCTAGAAATATGTCTCCTGCTGAATGAGGTAGGTCTAGGAAATTTTTTATTAATGTGGTAGCCATTAAAAATTACCATTTCCACTTCTGTGATCATCATTTTAGCAAGATAGTCTAGTAGAGAAAATGCAATTTAATTATTTATGGAGGATGCTTGTATTTTAAAAGATCTATTTCACGGGAGCTCCAAGTTTCATTCCATTTTCAATACTGACTGTGCAAAATATTGAGAATGTGTAAATGAAATCCACATTTCAGTTTAATTAGGGCAGATACTATAGTAAAGTCTTGTTTTTTCATTGTTTTGGAAAGTCTGGTGTTTTCATTCTGAGCATAAAGATAGCCAGTGTTTTTCACCAGTTTCTTATTGTTACAGGCAGATTCCCAACCTTTGGAAATCAAAATAGAATACTCAGGATTTGTAATAGTTATCAGACTTCCTCAAAACTTCCTAATTAATAGGGACATCTCATTTTTCTTTTCTCCCTATTATTTTCTAAAGCTTATACTATAGTCTACACTTGGAAATAGTGCTTTCATAGGTACCATAATCTCTTGGAGCAGTATTAAAAATTCAGTAAGAGAACTTTCAAAGACTTTTTGCTTTTATTTTATATTTTACTAAAATTTTTATTTATTAGAAATTCCTACGGTTCTGGAAATTGTACTTTCCTAGGAAGTGTGAAAACTTCTAAAAGCTACTACTTATTATTTGCCAGGGAACTTTATTTAAGGCAAAGTAGAGCCATAAGTTTGGGAGGTTGCAAAGAAAGCTAAAAGGGAGAAATGTTGAGTCAACTTTTTAACTTTTTTTTTTTTTTTTTTCGAGACAGAGTCTCACTCTTGTCGCCCAGGCTGGAGTGCAATGGTGTGATCTCTGCTCACCGCAACCTCCACCCTCAGGATTCAAGCGATTCTCCTGCCTCAGCCTCCAGAGTAGCTGGGATTACATGCGTGCGCCACTACGCTCAGCTAATTTTTGTATTTTTAGTATAGACGGGGTTTCACCATGTTGGTCAGGCTGGTCTCGAACTTCTGACTTCATGATCCGCCCGCCTTGGCCTCGCAAAGTGCTGGGATAACAAGTGTGAGCCACCGCGCCCAGCCCAACTGTTAATGATTATTTTGGGGGAGTAGGTCAGCAATAATAAAATCATTATGATCCACATCTAACCCACTTAAAAAATTTCTAGATTCTCAGTTTCTGTTTAATTGCCTATCTTCTGGCCAGTTCAACCTGCATTAATTACTACAGCAATACAGTATGTTTTGACAGCTAACAGAACTAGTTTCTTCACTTTATTTTTCATCTTAAAAATTATCTTGCTTATCCTTTCATCCTTAATTTCCATATGAATTTTAAAACCAGGTTGCTGCAATCCACACAAGTAAAAACACTTGGCATTTTTTGGAATTTTGTTAAAATTACAGACTAATTTGAGGAGAATGTCAACTTTAAAAGAGGGTATCTCAACAGCAGCGTTACTGATATTTTGGGCTAATTTTTTTTTGTCATGGGGGGGGCTGTCCTGTGCACTGTAGGATGCTCAGCAGCACCCTGATTTCTAATTAATAGACACTAATATAAACAACCTTCCTCTCTCTGTGATGATAAAAATGTCTTCAGACAATGCCAAATGTCCCAAGAGTCGAAATCACCCCCGATTGAGAACTACTGCTTTAAGATACTGAGTCATACTATCCACGACAGTAGTGAGTCAATCCATTTATTTGGCTGTCCTTAATTCTCTTGAATAAGTTTTGTAATTTTTTCCATAAAAGTACTGCAGTTATTCCACAGAACTTTACATTTTTGTTAATATTGCAAATAAAATTTTTCTAGGTGTGTAATGGTATTTTATGATTTTATAGAAATTCAAGTAATTCCTCAATACTGACTGACCATAAATTCAGCAAACTTACTGAACTCTCATTTTTCCTGATATTTCTTTATATTATTTTGGATTTTCTATGTAGGCAATCATATTATCTACAATATCTGCCAGGTTTGTTTCTTTTCCAAACTTTTTATCACTTACATCTATTTTATTTCCTCTTGTGTCTTTAACTGACACATGCATGAGCTTTTAAAAATTATATATTCATTATTGATTACAGTTAAGAATATAGTTTCCATCATGACAATTCCGTAAAATTTGTTAAGATTCCATCCATTTACAAAATTTTTTATACTTATTCAACAATAATGTATAATACATTCTATAAAGAAATAATTTTTCCTTACTAAACGATATATGGCTGCTATATCAAGTTTGTTAATTATAATATTAAAATATTCTTACCTGCTTCACTTACTCATTCCCAAAAATGTTATGTTAATTATTCCACTGTTTTGGGTGTCAATTTGCCTTTGCATATTTGTTACATATATATATATACACACACATATATATATACACACACACACATATATATACACACACATATATATACACACACACATATATATATATACACACACACACATACTTTTTTTTTTTTTTTTTTTTTTGAGACAGAGTCTTGGTCTGTCGCCCAGGCTGGAGTGCAGTGGTGTGATCTTGGCTCACTGTAAGCTCTGCCTTCCAGGTTCATGCCATTCTCCTGCCTCAGCCTCCCGAGTAGCTGGGACTACAGGCGCCCACCACCAGGCCTGGCTAATATTTTTTGTATTTTTAGTAGAGACGGGGTTGCACCTGTGTTAGCCAGGATGGTCTCGATCTTCTGACCTTGTGATCTGCCCGCCTCGGCCTCCCAAAGTGCTGGGATTACAGGCGTGAGCCACGGCGCCCTGCCACTTCTTTATATATTTTAAACAATCTGATGATACACACAAGTGTAGTGAGATCTTTCTAGTGAGTTTATCTCAGCATTAGATAGAGTTCAAGTTTATCCCTAACAATGCTTTTCATCTTTGTCTGACATAATACAGCTATATCTGCTTTCTTTTGATTTGTATTTACGTGGTAAATATTTTCTATTCTTTTAGTTTCAACTTCACCGAGTGCTTATATTTTATCTTTTGTAAACAAGCTATAGCTTCTTTAAAAATCCAATATGATAAAATCTAATATCTGGTTTTTAAATGAACAGAGTTTACTCGTATTTATTATGATTATTTGTACACTTGTATGCATTTAAACCATCTTATTTTATGCTTTTTATTTGTGGTTACTTTTAAAGACTCTAAGGTAATCACACAAAAGTCCTATTTAAATTCTTAAGTAAAATAATATTACAGTTACATGTGTCATCATTATATTAGCAAAACAACTTGTGGATTTTTGCAGACAGCTGAATTATATGTTATATGTATATTTTAGAGAATATATTGGTCTATTTGAACATAGTCCACTATACATTTATACACATATATTGACTTGCAGCATAGTTCAATATTTTAAATCATTATAGTGCCTTTTAAATATATTTGTTTTTATAATAAATCTTTGGCATGTTATAGTTATTTGATAGAATATTCTTACTGTGCCTGAGGAACTGTCTGATCATAAACTTTTTTTTAAGTAATATGCTTAGACGAGTTGCTGATTACAGGGACAACTTATGGAAAAATGGCGATGGTTTATATTAACAATACTGCCTGCCCCATTAACGGACATATGCCTGAAGAGACTTAAAATAGCTTTCACTTTACTTTCATTCCCAAATACTATTTTTATTATAAACTTTCCACCAGGAAAACCTTACTAGGCACACCTCAGTAATAGAAAATAAGTAATAAAGACTAAGATTTATGTTCTTATGTCTATACCTTAATCTAAATTATTACAATTATAAATCTTTTCATTTCATGAGACTGGTAAATTCCATTTTTATAAACTGAAAAATCAATTTTATTTGAAAAATTAAAATAGAAATTGTAATTTCCCACCCCCCCACCCCCATACACACCCCCACATTTACAAAACAATCTACAAGAGTTGGGATAGGATTTCAGAATGCTTGTGGTCTTACTGTTGGATAGACCTATCTACTGGAAGCTGCAAAGTAAATAAAATAAGGTTAAAAAGCAAATGACTCCACAATGCTCCCTTCTGAATGTAGGAGGGGAGTTAATTTTTAAAACCTGCTTCTCTCCTAAATTTTTTTCCAAATGAAAGCCCATGGCTTCTGTCACACCAGTGCAGTCCTTGACGGTGCTGAAGTGACATGGCTAAGGGTATCAGAGGACCTGCACCCACCTCAGTTCCTTCCATTCCCCTCCTCAAACTCAGTTCATGGGAGGGTCACTCAATACAGGTGGCTCCAAGTGATACGTTCCTCTGGTTACTGCCCTAAGCATACGTGAAGTCTACAATAAAGTATGCACTTAATACTAACAGAAGGTTCTGTAACAAAAAAACAGTTGACCAGCCTGGCCAATAGTGAAACCCAGTCTCTACTAAAAATACAAAAATTAGCCAGGTGTGGCACTCGGCTGTAATCTCAGTTACTCGGGAGGCTGAGGCAGGAGAATCACTTGAATCCGGGAGGCGCAGGTTGCAGTGAGCTGAGATCGCACCACTGCATTCCAGCCTGGGCGACAGAGAGAGACTCTGTCTCAAAACAAAAACAAAACAAAACGGTTAACATTCTTCGAACTAAGTTATAAAGCCACTAGCATATATGCCATTCTGGCTTTCTTGTAATAACCTGCCAATGCTCTCCTTTCTGACCTGTAGAGAATGGGGGTGGGGACAGACCAATGAGCTGGAGGTCTTCTGAACAGCCAGGAGCTGGAGGGCTGGAGCCCTCACAGGCAGGAGCCCCTTGTGGAATGGAGGAAATGAAAACCTCCAGGATTGTTAAAGATGTCCGTCAAAAGATTTGAAGGTCGCTGTTTGTCTCATTAGAGCCCAAAGCTAACACACATCATCACATTATCATACCAGACACTTTAAAATGTACATCATACAAAATATGGTACAAAACCATTTTAACTGACGGCAAATTACTTCAGACCTGAAACTTACTGGTGGCCAGATTTGAAACTATGGATCAGATCTGTTCCTGTTACTCACTGCACTAAAACTGCATTCATTTTTAAGTAAGAGAAAGTTGTATTAAGATTGCATATCAAAATATTCAAAAAGAGTGTCTCATAAATCTGTATGATCATTTTGTAATTTTGAACTTGAGGAAGATTAAAAATAATATCCATGTAAATGTATAGTATGTATTCTATAGAAACCTCCAGTAGATTCAAGTGAGTTTTCCCAACTTCACAATATTTTTTAAAGTGATGCAAAGTAGACTTTTTATGCCAAATAAATAAGTGGACTACCATGCAGGCCAAACAACTCAATTTTTAGGAATCAAATTACTGCTTAGGTTAGCTATTTTATGTCCAAATCAATTATACTGACACCTGGATTGACCATTACGTTTTTTATTTATTAATTATTATTATTATTATTTTGAGGTGGAGTCTTGCTCTGTCGCCCAGGCTGGAGTGCAGTGGCGCGATCTCGGCTCACTGCAACCTCTACCTCCTGGGTTAAGCAATTCTACTGTCTCACCCTCCTGAGCAGCTGGGACTACAGGCACACACAGCCACACCCGGCTAATTTTTGTATTTTCAGTGGAGACGGGGTTTCGCCACATTGGCCAGGCTGGTCTCAACCTTCTGACCTCAGGTGATCCACCTGCCTTGGCCTCCCAAAGTGCTGTGATTACAGGCATGAGCCACAGTGCCTGGCCTAAGTTTTTTTTTAAAGCACGTACTCTACACGATCTAGTTGTTTTATGACAATGCTTTTTAAGTTGCTGACATGAACCCAAAGGTTGAAAACATTTACATATTACAAATAAAAAAAAAGAAAACCAATATGCATTTCAAGAATAACCTCAAAAAGAACTTCTGAAAAAGAGGCATTGCAATCTACATGAGAAAATTGTTTCTGCTCAAAAGAAAGCTTACAAAATAATTTTCAAATTCTGGAAATTCTATGTTAGTTGTTTCAAAGTATGGTCTACAGAACAGTTGGTGCTTGAAGCTTTGCTATTGCACTGAAGATTTCAATGAGTGTGGGAAATTGTTGCTTCTACAAAATAAACACAGTCCTTTTATGCAGGACCTCTCAGAGTTTCTTGTGTTAATGTTAATTTCTAAAAGAAAGACAGAATATGCAGCATTATATCCCAAATCAATTTAAGACAAAGATTTGGAGGAATTTGCTTTTTGAATTGCCACATGAATACTACGTTAATTAATTAACTAAACTTCGCAGAGAATGATATTTGATTTCCAGTGAGTGGAAAACTTAACAGCTGCTTCTCTTTTATGAAAAATAAAAAACACATTATATAGTATTCACAATGAATTAGTAAATCTTTGGTCATAAAATTTAATCCTTAGATTAACTGATCATATTTCATCAAAACTTGTATTTCAGCTTGCTTGAACATACTTTAATCTAGTTACCTTATTGTACCAGCTTGTCTGACATTTAATTAACTATGCATAATTAAAGAATAAAAACCACATTTTTGTGCAGGGAAATCATGTGGAAATCACCATTCATTCCGGCCAGCATCACAGTTGCAGTAATACTGAGAATCAATGCAGTTCCCCTCTAATCCACAAGTACACTTTTGAGCATCAGGCAGAGAACCTCCCCAGGAAGTGTGTGTTTCATTGGTTCTTCCAACCCACCAGCTCAGTGGGGTTCCATCTGAAAGACAAGTATAAGAAAGATGACATCTACTTTGTCCCTCACTATCACCCTCCCCATATAGCTCCCTTTACTCCCAGGTGTAAAGTGTATGTGTGAGAGGCAGAGAGAGAGAAAATGAAACTATACTTAAACACTTGTATTTTACCTCTGAAATGTTTCTTTAAGCCTAACCAATGTTTTTCCCCCAATATTTCAATATCTAGGCTTAAATGATTCCATCTATTTTTCTTCTATTAGAAATCAGTCAGTTGCATGTGATACATACTTTCTATAGAAATAACATTCAAAAAAATTCACCATTAAAATAAATACCAGAGTAATTTGCACACTAAAGATAAAATCTATTTGAAATTATGAAATGTTCATTGAGAAAGTTTAATATTATACAAAGACATTGATTTATCTCATCCCATCTTTTTGCTAACTACCTGTATATTACACATTTGGAAAGATACACGTACTCTCTGTCAGTACTTACTAATTTTTGGAGGTATTTGTTTTTATTGCATTGGATGTCCTGACTCTTTATTTGGAGGTTAAGGAATGACATTGATAGGCTTTTCTCATCTCTGAGGTTAGAGATTTCTCATGCAAAGAAACAAAGTGCCCTGGGTCAACTACAGCTCTGAGGAGTGCGCCTCCTTCTCAGCACTGACAATGATTAAATGATAGAGTCAGACACTAACTCAGATCTATAGAACTGCATATTAGGACAAGGGATGCTGCCAGGGGTTGGGAGTGAAGATTGGGGTGATGGACTGACAGCACATCACAGTAAAGTTAGGATAATTTAAAAAGCAGGTGTCAGGCCACCTATCTTAAAAAAGGAAAGGGGTCAGAGGCCACAAGTTGCAGTCATCACAGATTAGGCCATGAGGAAAATGAAATTGGATTAACTCAACCAGTTTTTTAAACATGCTTGATCATGTGGTGCTGTTTTTCAAATTTCAATAGCTTGTTACCATTGGAATATGAATCGAGATCTGGAACTTAGCTTCTACCTTACTGCTTATTACAACTCAATTATAACTCATTCATAGATAAGATCTCTGCATTCATTACCACCACCACTATCCATCACCTGCCCCTCTGCCAAAAAACAAAAAAAACAACAACAAAAAAGGCAATCTGGGAAAATTTAAAGAGGGATTAGTACCAGGAATCTTTTAAAAATGTGCTAAAAGCTTGTTACTACAACGTAAAAGATATTTTTAAAAATTAATACACTCTTCTCGGAATGCCACTTTAAAAGTTACCGACTTCACCATTAAACTGTCGCAGATTAAAGAGCAAAACACTCATTATATCCTAATGTACAAGTATAAATTTACATCTAAATCTCCCATATTCCCCATAAAGTAGTAAAAATGTATTTTTTTAGAAACAGTAACAAAAAGATGTAAGTGGGTGAACTTCTAGACTGATAAAAGATCTTGTAGACTTGTCTATCCCTGCTATTTCCACCAAGTATAATGATAGATTCTGGAAATAATACAGAAGACAACCGAAGAGAATTCTGAAAGGTAGAAAGAGGAAGCTTAGGACCCCAGGACTGGAAGATACAATAACATAACGTTTTAAAAAACTCTGAATGGGCTCAAGAATAGAGTGAAAAAACACAGGACAGAATCACTGAACTTGAGGGCCCATCAATAGGCTTTATCTAACCTGACCAAAAAAGAGAGAACAGACTGAATATAAAAAGAACTGAGCCATAGGGTCCTATCAGACAATATCATCCGAATCTCAAAAAGAGAGAACAAAGTGTGCTGAAAGAGTACTGAAAAAATACTGGCTGTAAACTTCCCACATGTGGTGAAAGATACAAACCCACAGATTTAGGAAGTTAAGTTTAAGTCCAAAAAAGGATAAACCCAAAAATATCGACACCAAGATCCATCATAATTGAACTTTTTGGAAACAAAACAAAACAAATCTTGAAAGCAGCCTGAGAGAATAACACATTACCTGCCTGTAAAAGAACCCTAATTTGAATGATAGTAGATTACTCATCTGAAATTACAGAACCAGAAGGAATGGCATATTTTTTTTCAGGGCTGATAGAAAAAAAATTGTCAACTATAAATTATATACCCAGAGAAACTATCCTTCAAGAATAAAATGGAAATAAAATCTTTTTAGGCCGGGTGCGGTGGCTCACGCCTGTAATCCCAGGACTTTCGGAGGCCGAGGTGGGCGGATCACGAGGTCAGATCGAGACCATCCTGGCTAACACGGTGAAACCCCGTCTCTACTAAAAATACAAAAAATAGACGAGCGTAGCGGCGGGAGCCTGTAGTCCCAGCTACTCAGGAGGCTGAGGCAGGAGAATGGCGTGAACCCGGGAGGCGGAGCCTGCAGTGAGCCGAGATTGTGCCACTGCACTCCAACCTGGGCGACAGAGTGAGACTCCATCTCCAAAACAATAACAACAACAAAAAACCTTTTTAACACAAAAGAAAACTAAAATAATTTGTCGCTAGCAGACATTCCCTAAAGAATGGCTAAAGGAGGTTTTTCAAAAAGAAAGGAAATTATAACAAAGGATTCTTGGAACATCAGGAAAAAAATGAAAAGAGAAGAAATATGGATAAATATAATAGACTATCCTTATCAATTTTTGAAATGACATATGATAATTGACACAAAAACTGTAATACCATATGATACTCAAGACAATGATATTTAGAAGTGGGGAAGATAAAGGACCCAAATAGACATAAGGATTCCATATTTCATTATGAGAGTGAAGATATTTAAGTTGACTGTGGTAAGTCACATATGTACACTATAATACCAAGCAACGAGTAAGAAAATTATAAAAATTACCTTAAATGTAAATGGTTAAAATATAACAAAAGTTAGATGTTGGCAGAATCAACTGAAAAAAAAATAACACAACGAGAAATTTATAAGAAACTCACTTCAAAATAAACATAGGCAGGTTAAAAGTAAAAGGATGGAAAAAATACACTCTGCAAAAATTAAATTTGAAAGAAAGCAGAATGGCTATCTCATAAAATAGACTTCAGAACAAAAATACTAGAACAGGGACATTACATAATGATTTTTAAAAAAATCACCAGGAAGACATAAATGCATATGCAAGAAACAATACACCCTTAAAAAAATGAGGCAAAAATTGAGACTTCTGGTTTCCAATCTGATATGACGTTAAGAGTCTGGAAGTCATCGCTCCCATTCTCACAACAAGAAAAAAGCTGCACTAACTAAAAATAAACAGTTCTTCTTACACAGTTAAAGTCATAGGGCAAACATTACTCCTAAAGCTGCAGAGACAACTGAAAACAGCATCACGGCTAATGGAGCCAAAGCAGATGGTGGAGTCTGGTAAAAGCACTTAAAATGTAACTGACTAATTGATGGATACTGAGCAAGGACAAGCTACAGAGATTGAAAACTCCTAGAGTGGGGGATACGCCTTAGAGGGTCAACACACCTTCAAGAGTTTTATCTCCAGGAAGAGCCCCATCAAGTTCTCAGAATAAAGATAGGAAAAAAATGCTCTTATGTCTCCAGCAGGGGGAGGGAAGGAGTAAACATTTTTGAAATAAGCGCAGAACATTATGTTCTCCTTAACAACATTCTAATCCCCCGAAAAGCTAGTTTACTAGAGCCTAAACCACCTAGGGGAATGGAAATATCCAGAACCAGCCCCCTCTACCCTTCTTTTCTTACCCAAGGGAAGGGGAAGGAAGCTGAGAAGCACTCTGAAGGTCACAGTCCAGGAAGACAGGTTCTCTAAAAGACTGACCTAATCCTAAGAGTACAGGATGCTTCTGGCCGGGCGCGGTGGCTCACGCCTGTAATCTCAGCACTTTGGGAGGCCGAGGCGGGCAGATCATGAGGTCAGGAGATCAAGACCATCCTGGCTAACATGGTGAAACCCCATCTCTACTAAAAATACAAAAAATTGGGCCGGGTGAGGTGGCTCAAGCCTGTAATCCCAGCATTTTGGGAGGCTGAGGCGGGCGGATCACGAGGTCAGGAGATCCAGACCATCCTGGCTAACATGGTGAAACCCCGTATCTACTAAAAATAGAAAAAAATTAGCCGGGCGTGGTGGCGGGCGCCTGTAGTCCCAGCTACTCAGGAGGCTGAGGCGGGAGGATGGCGTGAACCCGGGAGACGGAGCTTGCAGTGAGCTGAGATGGCGCCACTGCACTCCAGCCTGGGCTACAGAGCGAGACTCTCTCAAAAAAATTAAAATAAAATAAAAACATTAAAAAAAAAAGAGTATAGGATGCTTCTCCTCTCCCCGCACCTTATCATCAATCAGATCAGTACATTACCTGTATAGTAACAGGAGATTAAAAATGAAAGAGCTGTGAATTTTAGACCCTATTTAAGACAGAGTCTCTGGGAAAACTCAAAACGGAAGAAAGAAAAATAAAATAACCTTAGAGGAAATTTTGGCCTCTGACACCACAGTTATGCAAAGAGCAAATTCAGCCTAACTACTAACTAGATAAACATAAAACCTTACATTAAAGGCTTCCTTACCTCAGTTCCTTTGCCAATACAACATGTCTGGCTTTCAACAGAAAATTGCAAGGTATGCTAAAGCCAAACAATACAGTCTTATGAGACGAATCAAGCAAACATGCAGATGTGACAGATTTGGAAATATCAGATAAGGAATTTGAAATAATAATCAATATGCTAAAGGCTCTATGTTGAAAAAGTGGGCAACATGCAAGGAGAGATAGGTACTATAAACAAAGATATGAAATCTCAAAATCAGAAGGAAATACAGAGATTAAAAGTAAAAATTGTAGAATGTCTTTGATGGCCTCATCAAAGTCTGGGAAGACTGGGAAGTGCTGAGGAAAGAATCAGTGAGTTTGAAGATATGTCAATGAAAATTTTCCATTAAAAACAAAGAGAAAAAGAATGAAAAATGAAACATAATATCCAAACTGTTGGACAATAATTTTTTTTTTTTTTTTTTTGAGATGGAGTCTCTCTCTGTCGCCCAGGCTGGAGTGCAGTGGTGCAATCTCGGCTCACTGCAAGCTCCGCCTCCTGGGTTCACGCCATTCTCCTGCCTCAGCCTCCCGAGTAGCTGGGACTACAGGCGCCTGCCACCACGCCCAGCTAATTTTTTGTATTTTTAGTAGAGGCGTGGTTTCCCCGTGGTAGCCAGGATGGTCTGGATCTCCTGAACTTGTGATCCGCCCGCCTCGGCCTCCCAAAGTGCTGGGATTACAGGCAAGTGAGTCACCGCGCCCGGCCCTGTTGGATAATTTCAAACGGTGTAACCTATGTAACCCATAATCGGAATACCAGAAGTAGAAGGAAGAGAGTGAGAACCAGAAGAAATATTTAAAATAATGACAGTTGAGAATGTTTCAAAATTAATGACAGACATGAAACCATAGGTTCAGGAATCTCAGCAAACACCAAGCAGGTTAAATACAAAAAAATCCACACCTAGGCATCTCATGTTCAAATTGCAAAAAATTGAAGACTTTCTTAAAATTAAAATAAAATCTTTTAAAAATAAAATCCCGAAATAAACCACAGTAAAATAAAACACCTTACCTACATAGGAGCAAGAATGAGAATTATGCCAGATTTCCCTTAAGAAACCATGCAAGCAAGAAGAAAGTGAAGTGAAATATTTAAACTGTTGAGAGAAAACACACACTAATATAAAATTCTATATCCAGTAAAATTATCCTAAATAGTAAAGTAGAAATAAAGACTTAGATAAACAGAATTGAGGAAATCTTTCTCCAGTAGACCTACCTTGCAAGCCATGTTAATAGAAGTTCCTCAGAGAAAAGAAAAACAATATAGGTCAAAAACACAGAAATACATAAAGAAAGGTAGGAGCATTAGAGAAGAAAAAAATTAAAATAAAATCTAGTGTCTTCTTCTTAATTGATGTAATAGGTAACAGCTCTAAATAATACTAACAATGTATTGGGTGATTATGGCTTATGAATAAGTAAAATGAATGATAATAATGTAATACAAAATAAGACAGAAGGATTGGAAATGCTGTGTTATAAAGTACCAGCACCATTAATGAAGTGGAATAGTGTTATTTGAAAGTAGATTGTTATAGTGTACATTTCATACTCAAAGGCTACCACTAAAACAATTACCAAGAAATGTAATTAATATTCTAGGAGAAGTGAGGATATGGAATCATATAAAATGCTCAATTAAAACAAAAAATGTGAGAGGGGAATTCAGGAAAAAAAGAAGAAACAAGGGCAACAAATAAAAAAGAGTTACAATATGGCAAATATTAATCCAAGTATCAATAATCACTTTAAATGTAAACAGTCTAAATATACCAATTAAGAAAGCAATGGCAACAAAAGCCAAAATTGACAAATGGGATCTAATTAAACTAAAGAGCTTCTGCACAGCAAAAGAAACTAAAATCAGAGTGAACAGGCAACCTATAGAATGGGAGAAAATTTTTGCAATCTACCCATCTAACAAAGGGCTAATATCCAGAATCTACACAGAACTTAAACAAATTTACAAGAAAAAATCAACCTCATCAAAAAGTGGGCGAAGTATATGAACAGACACTTCTCAAAAGAAGACATTTATGCAGCCAACAGACACATGAAAAAATGCTCATCATCACTGGCCATCAGAGAAATGCAAATCAAAACCACAATGAGATACCATCTCACACCAGTTAGAATGACGATCATTAAAAAGTCAGGAAACAACAGGTGCAGGAGAGGATGTGGAGAAATAGGAACACTTTTAGACTGTTGGTGGGACTGTAAACTAGTTCAACCATTGTGGAAGACAGTGTTGCGATTCCTCATGGATCTAGAACTAGAAATACCATTTGACCCAGCCATCCCATTACTGGGTATATACCCAAAGGATTATAAATCATGCTGCTATAAAGACACATGCACACATATGTTTACTGAGGCAGTATTCACAATAGCAAAGACTTGGAACCAACCCAAATGTCCATCAATGACAGACTGGATTAAGAAAATGTGGTACATATATACCATGGAATACTATGCAGCCATGAAAAAGGATGAGTTCATGTCCTTTGTAGGGCCATGGATGAAGCTGGAAACCATCATTCTCAGCAAACTATCGCAAGGACAAAAAACCAAACACTGCATGTTCGCACTCATAGGTGGGAATTGAACAATGAGAACACTTGGACACAGGAAGGGGAACATCACACACCGGGGCCTGTCATGGGGTGTGGGGAGAGGGGAGGAATAGCATTAGGAGATATAGCTAATGTAAATGATGAGTTAATGGGTGCAGCACACAATTAACATATGGATACATATGTAACAAACCTGCATGTTGTGCACATGTACCCTAGAAATTAAGGTATGATAATAATAAAATAAAAGACTGAGACTGTCAGAGTGAACAACAACAACAAAACCCATGATCCACCTACATGTTGTCTACTGAAATCCTCTTTAAATATAAAATAGCAGGTAGATTTGAAGCGCTAGAGAAAGATATACCATGGTAACACTAACCAAAAAGAAAGACAGAGTATCTAAATTAATTTTAGACAAAGCCAACTGCAGAGCAAGGTAAATTATCCGAGATGAAAAAGGGCATTACACAATAATAAAGGGGTCAATATAACAAGAAGATATAATAATGCTTAATATGTATATACCTAGCAACAGAAGAGTCAAAATATATTAGGGGGAAACTGATAGAACTGCAAGGACAGAGAGACACATCCATTATTACCACTGGAGACTTCAACACCCCTCTATGAGTAAGTGACAGACTCAGCAGGAAGAAAATCATTAAGGATAGATTTGAACTGAACAGCACCATCAATCAACTGGATCTAACTGAATACTTTAGAATTCAATTAGCGTTATAGAATATTTTATCTAGACACTGCAGAATACACATTCTTCTCAAATACAAATGCACAATTCATTAAGTTAAACCACATTCTAGGCCACAGAACACTTTACCAAATTTAAAAGAATAGAAATCACAAAAGGCATGTTCTTGAATCAGAATGGAATTAAACTAATAATAGCAGAAAGAGAGCTGAAATATCCTCAAATACCAAAAAATTTAAAAACACATTTCTAAATAATAAAACATGGTGAAAGAGAAAGTCTCGAGAGAAACAAAATTTTTTAACTAAGGCAGTAATTAATAACCTTCCCAAACAGAAAGTACCAAGCCCAGATGATTCACTGGTGAGTTCTATCAACATTGGAGAAATAAATGATACCAATTTTCCACAATCTGTTGCAGAAAATAGAAGCAGAGTGACTATTTCTTAACTCATTCCATGGGCCAGCATTACCCTAATACCCAAACCAGCAAAACCTTACAAAAAAGTAAACTGCAAACAAATATCTCCCTTGAACATGGATGAAGCAATCCTTAAAAAATATTAGCAAATTGAACCAAACAATTTTTAAAAATAAACACCACAACCAAGTGGGATTTACTCTAGATATGCCTTTAACATTTGAAAATTAATTAATATAGTCCATCAGATCAACAAGCTAAAGAATAAAAATCATATGCTTCCAGTACTTTCTGCTCAATTTCTATGTAAACTTAAAATTGCTAAAAAATATAAAGCCTATTAATATAAGAAAACTGATGGAGCAGAATGGAAAAATAAACAGATCCACAATTATAGTACAGATTTCAAAATGTCTCTCTTAGCAACTGACAGAACTACTGGACAAGAAGTCAGCAAGGATATACAAGATCTGAACAACATAATCAACCAACAGGATCTCATTGAAATACATACAGAATACTCCACTTAAGAATAGCAGAATATACATTTTTTTTTCAAATGCCCATGAAAAATTTACAAGACAGACCATATCCCTGGGAGCCAAACAAACCTCAACGTATTTAAAAGAACTAAAATCACACAAAGTATATTCTCTGAGCATAATGGAATCAAACTGGAAATCAATACCAGAAAGAGAAAAAGAAAATCTCTAAACACTTAGAAATTTTTAAAAATACACTTCTAAATAAGCTACAGGTCAAAGAATATGCTTCAAAGAAATTTATTAAAATACTTAAATGAAAATGAAACTACATGAAAAACTAAATGAAAATGAGAATACAACATATCAAAATATGTGAAATGTAGGTAAAACTGTGTTGATAGGGAAAATGTAGCATTAAATGCCTACATTAGGAAAGAAGAAAGCCCTAAAGCCAATAATGTAAGTTCTTACCTCTAGAAACTAGAAAACAAAATTAACTCATACAAGCTGAAGGAAGGAGATAACAAAGAGAAGAGCAGATTTCAATAGAATTTGAAACAAAAATAATAGAGAAAATCATGAAATGAAAATCTAGTTCTAAAAAACAGTAAGATTGAAAAACTTCTATAAAGACTGACAGAGACAAAAAAAGATGAGACAAACTATAAATATGAGAAATTTAAGTGGATATCACTACAGATGCTGGAGACATCAAACGAATAATAAGAAAATACTATAAATAATTCTACACAAATCAACTTGACAATTCAGATTAATGGACAAATTTCTCAAAAAGTACAAACTACCACAATTCACCTAACATGAAATAGGTAATTTAAGTAATTGTAATTATTAAGAAAATTGAATTCATAATTTAAAATTACTGAAAAAAAAATCTCTTGGCCCAGATGGTTTTACTGGAGAATTCTTTTTGTTTTGTTTTGTTTTTGGTTTTTATTTTTGAGATGAAATCTCGTTCTGTTGCCCAGGCTGGAGTGCAGTGGTGTGATCTTGGCTCACTGCAACCTCTGCCTCCCAAGTTCAAGCGATTCTCCTGCCTCAGCCTCCTGAGTAGCTGGGATTATAGGTGTGTGCCACCACACCCAACTAATTTTTGTATTTTTAGTGGAGACGGGGTTTCACCATGTTGGCCAGGCAGGTCTCGAACTCCTGACCTCAAGTGATCCATCTGCCTCAGCCTCCCAAAGTGCTGGGATCACAGGCATGAGCCACCCTGCCGGGCCTTACTGGAGAATTCTACCAAATGTTTAAATAAAAATTAAAGTCAATTTTACATAATCTCTTCCAGAAAACAGGAGACTAGAGAATGCTACCAAATTCATTTTATGTAGGCAGTATTGTCCTGATACTGAAACCAGATAAAGACAATATGAAAAAAGAAAACTACATATCAATATCTCTTATGAATTTGAATGCAAAAATATTCAATAAAATATTAATAAATCAAACACATTAGAAATGTATTTTTTAAATTATACATTATGGCGAAATGGGAGTTGCTCTAGTTATGCAAAGCTGATTCAACATATCAACAGACAAAAGAAGAAATATAATATTTTAATACCAATTGACACAGAAAAGACATTTGACAAAAATCCAATGTCCTTTCAAAATAAAAACTGTCAGCCAACCAGGAATAAAAGGGAACTACCTCCACATAACATAGGAAACAAGAATGAATGCTTTTCCCCTAAGACAGGAAACAAGGCAAGGATGTCTGTCCTCACCACTCTAGTTCAACCTAGTATTGAAAGTCTAGCTACTGCAATAAAGCAAGAAAAATAAATTAACTCCCTACAGATTGACGAGGAAGAAATAAAGCTGACTCTACTTGCAGATGACATGATTTTCCATATAGAAAATCCCAAGGAATCTAAAAAAAAATTAAGTTCAAAAAAGAGCTTATAAGATTAGTATGAAACAATCATATTTCATATTCTAACAAGAAACATATGTAAACAAAAATTTAAAGCACAACAGCACTTACAATCAATCAAGAAACTAACTAAATGCCTAAGCATACTTATAAAACATATAATCTCTGGATGCTAAGAATTACAAAATGCTGAGGCAAGAAATCAAAGATCCAAATAAATGGAAAGATATCTCATGTTCATGGATTGGAAGACTCAAAACAGTAAAACACCAATTTTCCCTTCATTGAGCTATTATGTTTAATGTCATTCCCATAAAAATTCTAGCAAGATGTTTGTAGACATAAACAAATTTATTACAAAATTTATACAGAATGAGGCAAGCTACAGACTTAAACAATCTTGAAAAAGAAGAATAAAGCAGGAGGAATAACTCAACCCTGCTATACAGCTACCACGTTCAAGACAGTGTGATATTGGTGGAGGCATATAAATTAATGAAACAGATAAAGAATGCAGAAACAGACCCACCACACAAGTAAGTTCAACCAATTTTTAACACTATTTAAAATGCAATTCAATGCAGGAAGGATAGCCTTTTCAACAAATGGTTCTGGAGCAACTGAACATTCATAGTCAGAGAGAGTGAGAGAGAATCAACTCTCACATCTTATATAAAATGTGTCCCAAAATAGGGCATGGAATTAAAAGTAAAAGGTAAAACTATACAACTTTTAGGAAAAAAATTCAAAAATCTTTGGAATTGGAATTTAGGGTTAGGTAAAGAATTTTTAGAATTGACACGATGTGTACAACCCATAAAAGGAAAATATGATAAACTGAATCTCATCAAAATTAAAACTTTTGCTCTAAAAAATTCCAGTTAAGAGTCAATGAATAGGCAAGCAACAGAGTGGGAAAAAATATTCGCAAATCACATATCCAACAAAAGGCTAGTATCTAGAATATATAAAGAACTGAAAATTCAACAGTAACAAAACAAATCCAAACAATCCAATTAGAAAATGAACAACAACAAAAACACATTCACAGACATCTATCTCACTGAAAACGATATACAGATGGCAAATAAGCATATAAAACATGCTCAATATTATTAGACATCAGGGAGACACAAATTAAAACCACAATAAAGATATTACTACACAGTTATCAGAATAGCTAAAATAAAAAATAGTCACAACACCAAATGCTGATGAGCATGTGGAGGAAATGAAATCATACACTGTTGGTGGGAATGGTACAACCATTCTAGAAAACAATTTGGCAGCTTTTTATAAAACTAAGTATGCAATTACCATATATGACCCACCTATTGCACTTTGGGGCATTAATTCCAGAGAAATGAAAACTAATGTTCACACAAAACCTGTACACAATGTTCATAAAAGCTTTATTCATAATTGCCCCAAACTGTAAACAAACAACCCAGATGCCCTTCAATGAGTGAATAAACTCTGGTATATCCATGCCACCGATTGCTAATCAGCAATGAAAAGGAACAAATTACTGATATACACAATTATGCAAATGAATCTAGAGAGGATTACACAGAGTGAAAAAAACTCAACCACAAAGAGTACATACTATATATTTCATTTACATAACATTCTTGAAGTTTAAAAAAACCCATAGAAATGGAGAACATACTAGTGGTTATTAACGAGCAATAGAGCAATAGGAGGAATTCTTTTTTTTTTTTTTTTTTGAGACGGAACGGAGTCTTGCTCTGTCGCCCAGGCTGGAGTGCATTGGCGCCATCTCGGCTCACTGCAAGCTCCACCTCCCGGGTTCACGCCATTCTCCTGCCTCAGCCTCCCAAGTAGACTATAGGCACCCGCCACCACACCTGGCTACTTTTTTGTATTTTTAGTAGAGACGGGGTTTCATCGTGTTAGCCAGGATGGTCTGATTTCCTGACCTCGTGATCCGCCCGCCTCGGCCTCCCGAAGTGTTGGGATTACAGGCATGAGCCACCGTGCCCGGCCAATAGGAGGAATTCTTGTGCTGATGGAAATACTGTGTATCTTGACTGTATGGATGTCAAGATTCCGGCTGTGATATTGCACTATACTTCTACAAGATGTCACCTTGGGGTGGGGGAACTGCTTAACGGCTACTCGGGTTCTCTCTGTTACTTCTCACAAGTGTATGTAAATCTACAATTATCTCAAAATTTTTTTTAAATTATCTTTTCAAAAGAGGAGAAATAGGGAAATTCTCACTGATGGGAGTAGAATATTCCATTTCTTGTGTTATTTTAGCCCCTAGCCCAGTAGTTTCCAAAAGATCACCTGGGGATTTTTTTTTTAAACAATTCCAAAGCCAAGGCTACACTTCATTCAACAGCAATGAACTAACAAATAATTAAGTTTTGTAATGCCAACTTTAAAAAACTGGAGAACTGGGAAGGAGAGTTTCTTACTTACTGAACTTATGTAAGATATCTCATTTATAAAAGAAACCCCATGAGATCAGTACTACAGGGTCCATTTCATCAAAGAGGAAACAAAGTCTGAAAAAGATTAAGGAATGGCCTAAATTTCCACAACTGCTAAGTGACAGACTTAGCACTTGAACTTCAAACTTTGAATGCAACCAGACCTTTGCTCTTTCTACTAGACCAAATTGGCTGGCAGGCATCCAGGGGAGAGAGGGATCACCCTGGGAAGGGACCCAGATGCCGACTGCACAGGTCTAGCACAGTGGGTAAGATTTAAGAGTGTGAGGGCCGGGCGCGGTGGCTCACGCCTGTAATCCCAACACTTTGGGAGGCTGAGGCGGGCGGATCACCTGAGGTCAGGAGTTCAAGAACAGCCTGACCAACACGGTGAAACCCCGTCTCTACTAAAAATACAAAAATTAGCCGGGTGTGGCGGCACCTGCCTGTATTCTCAGCTATTCGGGAGGCTGAGGCAGGAGAATCGCTTGAATCCGGGAGGGGAGGGGGTTGCAGTGAGCAAAGATCGTGCCACTGCACTCCAGCCTGGGTGACAGAGAGGCCAATCCAGGCAGAGGAAATGGTCTGGCATATTCCAGGGGCTGATTGGCCAGACGGATTAGGGAAGGCAATGCAGGTATGGGTTAGTGGATCAGCGCAAACCACCTTCAGATGACAGTCATACACCACTTTCCAACTTAAAGATTTTGTATTGAAAATTTAAGAGTGAAATTTAATTTAAGTGGCTTTATTATGCTACCGACATACACTGTTTTTGTTTTTTTAAGACAAGGTGTTGCTCTGCTGCCCAAGCTGGAGGCAGTGAAGCAATCACAGCTCACTGCAGCCTGGACTTCCTGGGCTCCAGTGATCCTCCCACCTATATACTATTTGGGATTGCTAAAACTAAAAAAATGAAAGGCAAATTTCAGTATTTAACTATAATTAGCAATAAAGTGCTTTCAAGAAACTATATGGAAACTGTTGGAGAGCAGCGGTGAGTCCTGCAGGGGACTGTGGGGATTCTGGAAAGGAGGGGGAAGTTGGTCTTTAACTTAGGAGAAGACGGTTTTGATGCAGGCAGAGTTTCCAAAACATTACTTCCATATATGAAGATTAAGGTATACATTTCTCAAGATATAATTTCAAAAAAATGAGACACCCACTGACAAAAGGTTTTAATAACCCTAGTCATTATTTCATCCTAGACCACAGTGAAAGTGGCGGGGCTGAGGAAGGGCATATTCAGTTAATCTAAAGGGAGGAAACAAAGGTTCCAAGTAGATTTAGAGGAAGACTTTGAGAAGAGTAAGGAGGTTACCGGTTCCCACTGGTCTTCATGAAGAACTGTTAGACCCAGCCTGCCCTACAGCCATTATCTCCTCAGTGTGAACGGAAAGCTAAGGCATAAGTTATTAGCAAAATTTCCCTTGATTAAGAAAGGACAAGTCACTAGTCCTGCATATGAACGCGCTGAACGTCTCTCAATGGTCAGGAAGGCGCTCTTGAATGCTCTTTGGTCCAACCAAGAGCGCGAAGAGAAGGAGAGAGCGGTCAGGGCTTTGAACTAAGAGCCACGGGAGGGACCCTGGCCTTTTCTCCCTCAAAGGCATCTCGCAGCCCGAGGGCCGCGCCCCGGCCTCGTGAGCCCCTGTAGCCTCCAGCAGTGGCGCTTACCTTGTGAGTCCGGGCGCCGCGCTGTCCCGCAGAGCAGAGCCAGCCGCTGCCCTCAGCGCTCCGCCAGGTTCACCGCGGCCCGCAGCTGCCCCGCGCCCGCTGCGTACGCGAAGGACACAGCCGAGCGCGGGTGCCCACTGGGGGCACCTCGGAGGGTCACCGCGTCGGGGCCACCGTGCCGCACCACCGTCCACGCGGAGTCTGCTGAGCAGAAACGGGCAAAGGAGAGGCATCACTGGGCGGCAGAGGCCAGCAGCAAGAGGCAAAGCAGACCTGTCTTTTATGTGAATTAACGTTTAATTGAAATTTACATTACTGCATGTTTGCCGCGATTTGAGGAGTTGGACCTGTGTAACAATGTACTGAGCCAGAACTCAGCCTCTAAGAGAAAGCATATTGGAAGAACTGATGACCAAACTTTTGCGACGTCACGCCTAAAAATGTATCATGTAAGCAATGACTTTTTAGTTGTTAAAACCATTTTTTTATATCAACACAAGCATGGGGCCAAACTGTTACTACCTGGACCTTTATCTTTTTAAACTCATCTGCATTTTCCTCATCTGTATGTGCCTCTATTTCTTTCATTATCGAATAAATTTATAAAAGATACATATTGGGACGTTGTGACGCACATACTCACAGGTATGATAGGAAGCAGCTCTATTAAAATAAAGTGGTTTAATTATGTCAGCTTCTCCATCAGTGACCAAGCCCAGAGGAATCAGAGGCCTTGAGCTTCTAACAGCACTTTCCAGGCGGTGACCCTGAGCATCTGACTGCCTGCTGACATCATTTCTGATGTATCTCTGTCACTTGATTACTTATATTGTTTTGATGAAATAAAAACAAAATGACTCCACAATCTCAAAAGGGAAGAAGTGCATCTTGAGTTCTTTAGTGTTCCCAACAATGGACCTCCCACCAGACTTGAAGTCACTTTAATTCTACTATGCTGGTGCTGTCTGGTCCTTTAACCTCTAATAAGATATATTTAGAATAATGGACATTTTACATAAAAATTTTCCGAACTGGAGAAACGAAGAAACATTTGTATGGGGATTTTTTAAGAACTACGAAACAAAACAATGTGATACATTTTACCTTGAGAAATCACCCTCCCAGCCCTTCACATCTCAGGATTTTTCATGGCTTGGCTGCTAAATGGCTAAATGGCTTGTGCGTAAGACAAATTTCACAGCCTTACTGTTACTTACACATGCCTAACAACAGAGATCAGAGGAAAGAAGGAAAAGAAAACCAGCCATGCTACTGAAATATCTCTTTAGTCACAGAACCCATGGAGAGCAAAGGTGTGATATCCACAAATGAGCCACAAGTACAGAAAAAAAATCTGCAAATTTAAATAACGAATGCAATTTTAAATTAAATTATCACTCCACTCACTGTACTCACCAAAGGAGGCTCTAAGTGTGCCTATGGTAATTTCAATTCCATGGGTTCTTCCTTTAATATTGCTCTATTTTTTTATTTTAGATTTTTTATTTAATTTATTTATTTTTGAGATAAGAGTCTCGCTCTGTTGCCCAGGCTGGAGTGCAGTGGCGCTATCTCAGCTCACTGCAGCCTCTGCCTCCTGGGTTCAAGCAGTTCTCCTGTCTCAGCCTCACAAGTAGCTGGGACTACAGGCAAACACCACCACACCTGGCTAATTTTTGTATTTTTTTAGTAGAGACGGGGGTTTCACCATGTTGGCCAGGCTGGTCTTGAACTCCCAACCTCAGGTGATCCACCCGCCTTGGCCTCCCAAAGTGCTGGGATTACAGGTGTGAGCCACCACGCCTGGCCTCATTTTAGAATTTTTACAACCTGGTGTTACTCTGTGCACATCACCTACTCTCACCTTCAGAGTTTTCCTATCAACTGAATCAAATATAGAAAAACCTATGGAACACTAAGTTGGGCATTGAAGATGATCAACCACATGCCATTTTTGGCCATGTGTTCATGATTTGTTGTACAATGGGAGAGAAATGATGGTCCGGAGTAGTTCACATAGGCTGGTGGGCAGTATGATAGATTTGCAGTCACCCATGGTTAAGATGTAATCACAGAAATGCCCTCAGTACTGAGAAGGGAACTGTTGAGAATACATCTGTAAAACTTGTTTTTCTGAAGAGTAGAATAGTAACCAGGGACATTATAGGATATGCATTTGTGTTTATAAAATTCCACTTGACTCACTTCTCCTTATAATATCAGTAGTAAAAGACCCAAAGAAGGACACAGACCATTGTGGTTTCCCTAATTGCTCGTAATTTATTTCAATTGATTATAAGCATATTGGAACTGGAAAGGATCTTAAAGAGCATCTAATATAACCCTTATATTTTTCTTTTTCTTTTTTATTAGAGATAGGGTCTCCCTCTGTTGCCCAGCTTGGAGTGCAGTGGCACCTTCATAGTTTACTGCAGCCTCGACCTCCTGGGCTCAAGTGAATTGGACCTGAGTAGATTAATTATAACAGTGGCTAAATGTGGAAAGGGGTTCAGAGGTGTGGCTGAGTCAGAACACACTGGAGGCCGTCTCACCAGCCCAGAAGGAGGGTAACTGTAACACGTTGATACCTGTTCCACTCCTGTTGCTCAAATAAATATCCAACTTTGAAAATTAAGCTAATTTAACTTCATGATTTTGATTGGAATTAACAGTACAGATGTTCCTCAATTTATGATGAAGTTGCATCCGGATGAACTTATTATAAATTAAAAATGCATTTTAATACATGTGACCTACTGAACCTAGCTCAACCCAGCCTAACTTAAATGTGCTCAGAACACTTAAATCAGCCCACAGTTGGGCAAAATCATCTAACACAATGCCTATTTTACAATAAAGTGTTGAATATCTCATGTCATTTATTAACTACTGTACTGAGAGTAAAAAAAAAAAATAATAATAATGGTTGTGGCCAGGCGTGGTGGCTCACGCCTGTAATCCCAGCACTTTGGGAGGCCGAGGCAGGCGGATTACGAGGTCAGGAGATCGAGACCATCCTGGCTAACATGGTAAAACCCTATCTCTACTAAAAATACAAAAAATTAGCCGGGCGTGGTGGCACATGCCTGTAGTCCCAGCTACCGGGGAGGCCGAGGCAGAAGAATCACTTGAACCCGGGAGGTGGAGGTTGCAGTGAGCCGAGATCGTGCCACTGTACTCCAGCCTGGGTGACAGAGCAAGCCTCTGTCTCAAAATAATAATAATAATAATAATAATAATAATAATAATAATAAAATAATAGTTGTATGGGTACTTGAAATAGGGATGCATATGGTTTCACATAGGGAAGTCGCAATATTGTAAGTAGAACCATTGTAAACGGGGATTGTCTGCACTTAAAATTTACTCAGTATATCATATGAAATCCCCAGCATCTGGTATACCCATTCCTATATGTCCCAGAAGAAAAAAGAAAATAAGATCCACTGTGTTCTGTTGTCAGGAGCATACATATTAAGGTTATCTCTTTTAGAGAACTGACCCTTTCATTTGTCTGAGAAAATCTTTATTTCTTCACTTTTCAAGGAGAAGGTTTTGTTTTGTTTTGTTTTCTCTCTTTCACACTTTAAGTATCTCACTGCATTCTTGCTGGCATGATTTCTGAAGAGAAGATGCTGTAATACTTATCTCCTATGTAGGTAAGGTGCTTTCTTCCTCTGATTATTTTTAAGAATTTACTTTTACCTGGCCTGGGCATGGTGGCTCATGCCTGTAATCCCAGCACTTTGGGAGGCTGAGGTGGGTGGATCACCTGAGTTCGGGAGTTGAAGACCAGCCTGACCAACATGGAGAAACCCTGTCTGTACTAAAAATACAAAAATTAGCCAGGCATGGTGTCACATGCCCATAATCCCAGCTACTCAGGAGGCTGAGGCAGGAGAATCACCTGAACCCAGTAGGCGGAGTTGTGGTGAGCCAAGATCGTACCATTGCACTCCAGCCTGGGCAACGAGAGTAAAACTCCATCTCAAAAAAAGGAGTTTACTTTTATCTTTGAATTCTATAGTTTGAAAATATATGCCTGGTAGAGTTTTGGGGGCATTTCTCCTTCTTTGGTGTTCTCTAAACTTCCTGGATTTGTGGTTTGGTGTCTGATACTAATTTGTGGGAATTCTCAGTCATTATTTCTTCAAATATGCTTCTGTTCCTTTCTTTCTTTCTTCTCCTAGAATTCTCTTTACACGTATGTTACACCTTTTGTAGTTGTGCCACTGTACTCAGATATTATGTTCTGGGTTTTCTTTTTGCAGGGGGTGGGGTTCAGTCTTTTTTTCTCTTTGCTTTTCAGTTTTGCAAGTTTCTATTGAGGTATCTCTAAGCTTAGGGATTCTTTCCAAAGCTGTGCCTGGTCTACTAATAAGCCCATCAAAGGCATTCTTCATTTCTGTTATGCTGTTTTTGATCTCTAGCACTCCTTTTTGCTTCTTAGAATTTCCATCTTGCTGCTTACATTGTTCATCTGGTCTTGCATGCTATCTACTTTACCCATTACAGCTTTTTCCATATTAATTATAGTTGTTTAAAGTCCTGGTCTGATAATTCCAATGTCCCTGCCATATCTGACTCTGGTTTTTGTTTGTTAGTTTTGTTTTTTGGTTTTTTTGAGACAAAATCTCGCTCTGTCACCCAGGGGGGAGTTCAGTGGCACGATCTCAGCTCACTGCAAGCTCCGCCTCCCGGATTCATGCCATTCTTCCTTCTCAGCCTCCCGAGTAGCTGGGACTACAGGCACCCGCCACTACGCCCGGCTAATTTTTTTTGTATTTTTAGTAGAGACAGGGTTTCACAGTGTTAGCCAGAATGGTCTCGATCTCCTGACCTCGTGATCCGCCTGCCTCAGCCTCCCACAGTGCTGGGATTACAGGCGTGAGCCACCGTCTGTTTTTAATGCTTGCTCTGTCTCTTCAAAGTGTGTTTTTTGCCTTGAACTTTTTTCTTTTTCTTTTTTTGGAGACAAGGTCTTTCTCTGTTGCCCAGGCTAGAGTGCAGTGGTGTGACCATGGCTCACTGCAGTCTCCAACTCCCAGGCTCAAGCGATCCTCCCACCTCAGCCTCCCAAGTAGCTGGGACTACAGATACATGTCACCATGCTGTTTTGTTGTTGTTGTTGTTGTTGTTGTTGTTGTTGTCACAATGCTGTTTTGTTGTTGTTTTTGTTGTTGTTGTTGTTGTAGAGGTGGGGGTCTCACTGTGTTGCCCAGACTGGTCTCAAAACTGGTCTAAGGCTATCTTCCCTCCTCAGCTTCTCAAAGTAATAGGATTATAGGTCCAGCTGAAATTTTTTCTTGATAACCAGATGTGATGTACCAGGTAAAAGTAACTGTAACTGCTGTAAAGAGGCCTGCAGTACTATAAGTAACATGTGTGGGAAGGGGAAAGGTTCTGTAGTCCTGTGATTAGGTCTGAGTCCTTTAGGGAGCCTGTGCCTCTGGGCTGTGACCTTCACAAGAGCTTCTCAGCCCTCCCTCCCATCACCACCCTTACATGGGACAGGATGGCCAGAGGTGGGTAATTTCCTTCCTCCAGGCAGGTTAGGCTCTGAAAACAAAAAACAAAACAAAACAAAACAAAACACCAGTAGCTTAGGTGAAATATTTGCCCTTGAGGAAAGACCTTGTTAAGAAGAACAGAAAGCTCTGGTGTACTTCAAGACGGTTCCTTTTCACCTTCCCTTTCTGGAAGCATGAGGAGATTTTTCTCCAACATTCACTGTGAGAACCCGGTCAAGCTAGGTGTCAAACTCACAGAAGTGTGGGGACCCTTCTCTGTCTGGGTCTTCCTGGAGTTCTTAACTCTCAGATGTGTCCACATCGAACATCCAACAATTCGTCAATTAAGTTTAGGTTTTCCTACCTTGACAACGGTTTCCCCAAAGGTTAGTGCTTGTGGAAGAAAACTGTCATTCTGTATATAAGCCTGCCTGTCTCTCCAATTTTGAGGGGCAGTGGTTTGTTCTGTGACCTCACTTCTCTGCTGGATCTAAAAAAATTGGTTAATTTTTCAGTTTGCCTGGCTTTTTACTTGTTCTTAAGATAGAGTGCTGACTTCCAAGCTCTGAAGCAACTGCTTTTTGAAGGTTATTACGATATATACATTTCAAGCTATTAGAGTAGTTTGAAATTGCACATTTTATAATCATTATTGCTTGATTTGTACAACTAGAGAATTTATTACTGGCTATAGAGCAATGCGGCATCTAAAGAGAAGGTGACATTTTCTAGGGCAGAAAAGAGACCAGAGTTTAGTGATTCCCCTATCATTAGCTAGATTTTGTCAGTAGATACTTCCCTAACCAACTTTTCTGAGCCTTGGTTTCCTCATCTTAAAATGATGACAACCAAGGTCCTTCCTGGTTGTGACTTTGGTTGAGTCTTTTGATATCCACCAAGACCATTTTTATGGGATTTCTCACTTTGCTTTCATTGTTTGAGTCGGGATTTTGGAGGTAATTGGTATCTTATGGCAGAACGCTTGTGTTTCTTTATCTTCAGCACATTGCTGTGCAGGTGGCTCTGAATCTTCTGAACATCCCCTGTAAAGTTTTACTATTTTTTGACAATCTTTGCTAAGGCACTTTAAATGCCCATGTAATTTCAGTTATTTTTTTCTTTTTCCTTGATGCTTGCTGACCCATTTGGTTATTGTCCAAATTTATGAAACTTTTGAAACCTTTTGTCAGCACAATAAATGAGAACAGTTTATTCCAGATTTCCACTTTGCAGAGAGTTGGAAGAGCTAGGTGACAACAAATTTCTGTAAAAATGTAACTATTTAAAAGGCGTTCTAGTGCAATCTTCTATAATCAAGCTGTGTTCATTTCTTTTTTTCCTTTTTTTTTTTTTTTTTGAGATGCAGTCTTGCTCTGTCGCCAGGCTGGAGTGCAATGGCGCAATCTTGGCTCACTGCAACCTCTGCCTCTCTGGTTCAAGGGATTCTCCTGCCTCAGCCTCCCAAGTAGCTGGGACTACAGGTGCGGGCGCCACCACGCCCAGCTAATTTTTGTATTTTTAGTAGAGATGGGGTTTCACCACGTTGGCCAGGATGGTCTCGATCTCTCGATCTCGTGATCTGTCCGCCTTGGCCTCCCAAAGTGCTGAGATTACAGGCGTGAGCCACCATGCGCAGCCCAAGCAGTGTTCATTTCTAATATCTAAAGCACGAGAAATAATCAAGTTTCTTTGGTTATGAAAAAATTATATGACATAAAAATCACTAAATTATTTAAGATGCACATAGAACATTAACATATCTATGTTATTTCTTAGCATTTTTAAACACCTCTGTTTTTTCTAAATACAGAAAGCATGTAAATCACCGAATCAGAGGTTTGTATTTTATCATGATGCACATGAACAGATGTATTATGAGGAGTGTAGGAGCTAGAGAGATGCCTTGGCAGAGCATTGAATCTTGCCTATAATCCAATCCAGGCAAAGAAGAAATACAAGAAAATTTTGTTGACAACAAAATTAATAAATACATATTTAATGCTTCTACTTAGCAAGTACACACTATCAAACTGCATGTTTTAATAATGCTGCCAACTAGGTAAATTTCTCCTTGGTCTATTCTGATCTATGCATCTAACGATTATCAACATACCTGTCATATTGCAGTACACAAGAAATGGTCCCAGGGGGCCACTTCCATCTGCATCAATATAGTAAAGCCCGGATGGGTTCCCTCGGTGCTTGTGGGCTTCACAAGACTGCTCGTAGAGAGCTGTAGGAGAACACCAGCCAAAAGAACCAGAAAAAATATCTCCAGATGTTGAGTCAGTGTCCAAAGGTTTGCATTTCTGAATTACAGACATGTGATACATATGACCCAACATCATTTTTATAGTGTATGACAGTATATTTGATGAGATGCAAAAAAAATGACATTTAAAAAATTAAATCTATTTTTATTAACAAAGGAGAAAAAAATTACCTAGTCAAAATACATTCAAAGGTTGGATGTTGTTAGATGCTGAATAAATATTCGGTCACAGTGTATTTCTATTTTGAGGAAGAAGGAAAGATTGTGTTGGTGTTCAAACATGAAGATGTGCTTACAGTGGGAATGCGATACTATCTTCAATAGACAATCTTTTGGCAATGTCTAGAGACTGTACTTTCTCTACATAAATGTTTTCTTTTGCTTTTAGGCAAGAAAGCATGCAAACTCTGAAGCACAGTGTAAAACACTTGAAGAGATACGAGAGGAAAACTTTGTGAATCTGAATTCTGCGTGCTATTGAAGCATGGTTCTTTCCAAACTCATGGCAACTATACCTCAGAATTAAACTCTATAATTAAGGAAGAAACCCTCATTCTCCCTGTAATAACTGAATACCTAAGCACATTAAAATGCCTAAATAATCTGGTATTTTCCCATAAGCATTCTGTAAAGTTTTTCTTAAGCTATGCGGCAGTTATACCCTTTGCTTCCTTTAAAACAATATGAATGAGCATTTTAAAGAGATAAATGGAATTTATAAGCTATCAACTTCTCGTCATTAAAAAATAATTAAAGCTGATTTAAAAAAGAAACATCCCTAAGTATTTTGCAAGTGACAATTCAAGACAGCCGAAATTCAAAACAGGAGAGAAACTTTTTTGAAAGACATCCCTATATAATGTAAATTTACTCTAGCATAATTGAGTATTTTCATTTGTGCAAGTAAATGTTTTACCAAGTACAAGGTATGGAATTAATATCTGCAGGAGATGGACATTGCTAATCTTTATTTTTTTGCCACTTATGGCATATTGATTTAAATAGATACATATATTTGTATATGTCTGGTGGGATTCACTCAAATTAATAACAATACTTAAATATAGGGCACAGACTAGGTTTGGAATGGAGACAAATATTGAGGAAAGTGACTAGAACTTGTGCTTTATGTGAACTGTTTGGCTTTTTAAATGATAATGTATACATGTATTAATGTATAGTATATATTAATTGAATACAATTGATTTTAATTGTATAATTAATTATATACAATGAGTTATATACAATTAATAATTATATACAATTAATTAGTTGCACATAATTGATACATGTTATACAATTAGAAATACAAAATAACCTATTCAACTAGGTGTGGCAGTCTAGTCTCACAGTGAATGACTGTGGGCTTGGCAAATTTCTACCTATAGCCATCAATTATTAGATGAGACTGACACTTGAAATACTTTTTCAATCTCCTGATATTTTCCCTCAGAAGTTTTTGGAGTTATATTTTGATTGCAGTGAATAACCATGGACTAATATAACTCATTGATTAATTGCAATATTAAATGCAATCAGACAATGCTGAGTGTGGTGGCAGATATAAATTTTCCAGGTAACACACAAGATTAGGCTTCTGCTTTTAGGTAAGATACTATGCCTGGAGGATGAAAGATACACAGAAGTAAAAGATGTGGTCCCTGCACCAACTCTATGACCTTATCAAGACATTCAGCCTCTGGTGTGAGAGGCCACTCAACTCCTAGAAAATGTGTCACAGCGGCTGGGCATGGTGGCTCATGCCTGTAATCCCAGCACTTCGGGAGTCCAAGGCAGGTGGATCACAAGGTCAGGAGATCGAGACCATCCCGGCTAACATGGCAAAACCCCATCTCTACTAAAAATACAAAAAATTAGCCGGGCGTGGTGGCGGGCGCCTGTAGTCCCAGGTACTCGGGAGGCTGAGGCAGGAGAATGGCGTGAACCTGGGAGGCGGAACTTGCAGTGAGCTGAGATCATGCCACTGGGCTCCAGCCTGGGCGACAGAGCAAGACTCCATCTCAAAAAACAAAAAACAAACAAACAAAAAAAAGAAAATGTGTCACAGCTTTATAAACAGGGACCCTTCTAGTACAAAAATCATACTTCATGCTTCAATCTGTGAGAGTCACTCCTGGACTGTCTCCTCTTTTGCCCAGATCCTTTACAGAACCTCAGGACTGGGAGCGCAGAATTCTCATTGCAAGTATGAAGTGTGGTTTTAACACTCCACAGCCTGCCTTTCTCCTGTGGCTTTTGTGAAAATCAAATGTCTCACGGAAGAGTTCTTAAAAGTTTCAATTAGGAACTCAGGATGAGCAAGTGGAACTGAGGACTTTGCATCTCTGTTTCCTTGAAGACCCAGGGATGGGCGAAATATTCCTGAGGAGAAGTTGCTCAGAAACGTCAGTAGAGATATACAGAAAGAAAACTCTAAAAGTTAAAAACAAATAAGAAAAAAAAGGCTTTTCAGATTCTGTGATGTTCTAATTATAACAGGTTAGAGGTCAATAAAACGGCATGGCCTTTGAAATTCACAGAGGGTGATTCTTCAGTAAAGACAGATGATTTTTAATATGGCAGAGGCAGTTGAGAAGTGTTAGAATATGCCATCCCTTAGACATTGTTCTTACACTTAAATGTCTACCAGAAGCATGAGGAAGGTTGGTTACAAGAGACTCGGGGCCCCATCTCCAGCGATTCTGATTTAGTAGGTTTGGGTAAGGCCTGAGAGTCTTTACTTGCAACAGGTTCCCAGGGGCTGTGGGTGCTGCTGGTGCATGGACCACCAATCAGGCATCCTGGAGCCAAGGCTGTGGAGCCAACCTCCTTAGCTCAACTCCTCATCTTCCCACAAACTAGCTGGGGGCCAAGTTACTTAACCTCTTTCTGTCCTCAACTCTGCAATGAAGATAATAGTACTTTCTTCCAGCTGCTTTAGGGTTAAATGAGTTAATATATGCAAAGCAATAGCAGAGGGCTGACATAAGTACTCAATACATTAATACTTTTACAATTATTCACTTTACAATCATCATCACCACCACCAAAGAAAATCACAGTCATTGTAAGAGATCTTAAAGGTCCTCTAGTTTCTAGCTGATATCCCATTACCTCTTCAAAAATCTTGCCATGTACAATCCCATGATTGCATCATCCCAGTGATTGTTAAAAAATCTTTAAATACCTTAAATGCAACATTGACAGCCTGGCAAGGGGTTGTTTTTCCACCTTTCTTTGACTGAGAAGATTCTCAGAATTAAAATTATGGTCCAACTCAAGTAATGGAACAAGCTGTTAACATCATGCATTTTTAATTTAATTTAGTTTCTACCTTTTACTATATCTGATTCTCCTAGACTTATTTCCCCATTGCTTGCCAGTTTCTTTTTTCAATCCTATGTGTACCACGTATTTCTGTGCACTGTCTCAACACCCTTGTATTAAATAAGGTGGATTAAAAGTAAACTAGAAATTGAATGCTGAAATATCTCTTCTGATGTGTTTGCATGATTGCAAATATGCAGATACATATAAACAACTAATCAAAATGAAATGACAAAGAGATGCTGACAGAAACGAGAGGGAGGTGTGAGGCTTACAGGAATGGCAGGTCTCGCCCGTATAGCCTGTGCCCAGACAATCACAGGAGAAGGTGTCCCACGACTGGGAACACTCGCCCCCATGCTCACAGTAGCTGGGCAAGCACCTAAAAGAAAACAGATACAACTGCTGTTTCCCTTTTTCAATCATCAAAAAATAAGTGTCTTACCAAAAACAGGTTAACCAAAAACAGGTTAATGTGAAAGAGCAGCATACGCAAGATAACCCCACATGACGTGATTACTGGGTCTGCCATCAAGGTTCTCTAATTATATTGACAAACTTTAGATAAATATATCCATTAGCATGCAGCTGATTATTAGGTTTCTGAGACAGCTGAATTTTCAACACATTTCTTTTTTTCTTTGTCCCAAGTGACACAATAACTTGACATGTGGCTAGCAAAACCAATTACATACATAAAACTATGAAATATGGCATGCTCCGTTACTATATTGTGGTCATTTTTAAAAGAAAGAAGGGGAAACAGGGAGGAAGATACAGAGGGGAGAAGAAAGAAACAGGAACAGCTTCAGTCACATAGTGACAGAGGTTCAGAAATTTTGAAGAACATTTAATTTAGGTCATCTTGTCACCTTTTAGATTTGCAATAAGCAGTCGGTTATTGCTTTTTAAGCAATCTTAACACTGGTAATATGTCAATATGACCCAAAGCAATCTACAAATTCAATACAATTCTTATTAAAATCCCAATGCCTTTTTTTGCAGAAAACAAAAATCCATCCTAAAATTCATAGGGAACCTCAAGGGACCCTGAACCAGCCAATGTTGAAAAAGAACAGTTGGAGGTCTCACACTTTCAGAATTCTTGGAATCTGCTGCCGCCCACTATAATATTGGGGGCCTAGCATGCCTGCCTCTCAGGATTGTTAGGGGAACAGGGAGCAGGGTACACTATGGAAACTGACCAGCACCTGACACAGAGTGTCACCAAGAGGTAGTGTGACCTTCTGGAGGCCTGGCCTGAATACCATGACCCACCTCTGCCTTGAGCAGGGTTGGATCTCAGCCTCTGGCCGCTGTCTCCCACTGCTGAGTACACAGCTAAGGACCTGGTAAAGAGTGAAGATTCTAAAGGACACTGACCTTCCAGGCCGTGAGGGACATCATAGTCCATGCTGGAGCGGCAGAGGCGGGGAGCACCCCAGTGCCCCTCACCATGGGACCCAGAGAAGTAACAGAAGAGGGGCCGGGAGGTTGTGACAGGCCTCCTGGCTGTGGTGGAAGGACGACCAGCAGAGAACTGGGGTATGAAGTTGACAGAAAGCCCCAGGGGCCTGTATTTGGCCTCGGGAGAGATCCTTTGAGGGGAACCTGAGGGGCTGGGAAGAATCCGCAGCATTCCCTACCCTCCCCATGCCCCCAGCCCCCTATCCTGGCTCTCCAGCACTGCACCACCAGCTCAGGGCCAAGACTTCCATAATTACATGGTGTTAATGAGCATTTAGTCTGCATTCAGAGAAGAGTTAGGGGCCATGAGAATCACAACTTTTCAAGTATTTCAAAGGCCAAGGCATGGAAAAGCCTGTGTGAACTGATCAGAAGAGGGGGAGCTGGAGCGACAGGCAAGGTTGGCTGGGGTGGGGGCCCACCCTCATACCATTTTTAAAAGAGCAGCTGTTCCTCTTCCCCCACATCCTTCTCCCTCTCCTCCCCTTCCTTCTTAATATAATGGAGCATCTTAAGATCATACCTGACTTGAAGATTCCACAAATTTTAAAAAACATTAAAAACCACTGCTGTTTGATATCAACAGGGAGAGAATAACTTTAGTTCAAAATATTTGGAAATAAGAACTATTTAAGTGATCTAGAGACTATCAACATGTATACACTATTTTTCTTCAACTAAACACAACATCAATTGTGAAAAATTTACATGTATTACAAATAATAGAGGAAGTAGCTAGCATGCAGAAGACCAACAGAGGGGAAGATGGCAGAGGGAGGGCAGGAGTGGGGTCAGAAGCCTGGTCAGCACAGCCAGGTGAGGAGGTGACGGAGGCCTCCCTGCTCAGGGAGCCCCAGTTGGAACGCAGCACAGGACTCCACTGGAAGCTCTGCCATGTGGTATACAGGGCAAACCTTAAAACAGTATAGGAATTTGATGTAAGAGGTGATTAAGAAGTTAAAACCTATCCTGGCCGGGTGTGGTGGCTCACGCCTGTAATCCCAGCACTTTGGGAGGCTGACGCGGGTGGATCACGAGGTCAGGAGATCGAGACCATCCTGGCTAACACGGTGAAACCCCGTCTTTACTAAAAATACAAAAAATTAGCCAGGTGTGGTGGCGGGCGCCTGTAGTTCCAGCTACTCGGGAGGCCGAGGCACGAGATTGGCATGAACCCAGGAGGCGGAGCTTGCAGTGAGCCGAGATCGTGCCACTGCACTCCAGCCTGGGCGATAGAGCGAGACTCTGTCTCAAAAAAACAAACAAACAAACACCTATCCAAACATAAACATCCATTATTTGTGACTCTGTCATCCAAAGTGCCCATTGCTATTTTTTGCGTAGCTTAAAATTTTGACTAAAAAAGATAACTTCATACCCCTTATCTGTCCCTAAGTAGGATTTTTAGGTCTGGTATTTGAGTAACATATGTTTCTACTTTGTGAGTTAGTGATATGGTTTGGCTGTGTCCCCACCCAAATCTCATCTTAAATTGTAGTTCTCATAATTCCCACCGTGTCATGGGAGGGAACCTGTGGGAGGTAACTGAATCATGCGGGCAGATCTTTCTCAGGCTTTTCTCATGATAGTGAATAAGTCTCACGAGATCTGATGGTTTTATAAAGGGGAGTTTCCCTGCACAGGTTCTCTTGCGTGCTGCCATATAAGACGTGTCTTGTTTCTCCTTCACCTTCTGCTATCATTGTGAGGCCTCCCCAGCCATGTGGAACTGTGAATCCATTAAGCCTTTTTTCTTTATAATTACCCAGTCTTGGGTATATCTTTATTAGCAGCATGAGAACAGACTAATACAATTAGATTTTTGTTTGTTTGTTTGTTTGTTTGTTAACAACAACAAAGAAAGGCTGATAGATGCTTACAGGCCTGTTTTCAGGATACTTAAAAGTGAATTTTCAGTATTTTCAGGTTTTGAAAACTTTATGTAAAGGGAACAGCAAAGGTCTTTAATTTTAACTCTGTAGGATGTCATTTTGTGTCCCCAAAGTTTTCTAATTTTATTGCTTTATAAAATTCAGGTTTTCAAAATAATCTCAGAGGAGCTAGTCTTCTACGTTACTGAATTTGGGAATGAAATAGTAAATAGCCTTTATTTGTAGCCCTATTTGAAAATGATTTAAAAGTGCTTTCTTAAAATCCTTATCTGCAATGATTATTGTACACATCATGGCTGAAGTTTAAGTGTGGCTCACACATACATGCTTAGTTGAGCATGTTTACAAGTAACTTTGGGGTACAATTTGGAGGGCTTTTTAAAATGTGGGATCTTAGATACCAAGTTAGGCACCAATGTAACTCTTGGGACTTTAAGGTTAAAACAAAACAGCCTATAACAGTAAAAACAATAGTTTTGTACTTTGGGAGCTACATGCACAAAGCAGGCAACATGGATCATCTCTGAAAAGAGGCAGCCTCACAATATATATCTCATAACAGAAACACTGCAAATGGATCATATTTTGTGAGTAATTAACAAGGTATCAAAATAATGTCATACAAGTGAAGAAAATCACACTTGCATCACAGTTGAGCTGACAGCTGTTGTCACTCACAGTGTGGGCCCATGGGACATTACCCCTTAACTCAGAGAGAGCTGAGCTCCCTGGCTAGTTAGCTGAGCAACTTGGGATTATATTAAGTGAGCAAATGGCCAGAAACCTTCCCAACTACCCTTCCCACGACTACAGAGTGGGGTTCTGGAGCTGGTGTTGAGATGTAAATGCAGTCCCAGCTGTGTGCCAAGAATTCAAATCTCAAGGTCAAGAATGAGAGGTACTTGACAAATTCTTACACTTCATATACTCCTCATCTTTGAATTAATTCATTTTTCCTACAAATCAACAGAATGTTCACAGGGGGAAATTATTCCATGCTGAATAAATAAAGTCCATATGAATGAACTTTTCATTTAGTAGTAATTGCGTTTTTTTAGTATGTCACTAACTGTGAGTTATAAATTAAAACCTGTTTAGCCAGAGAGGATAATTTTACAGTTAATGTTTAAAACAGAATTGACTAACTGAATTTACTCCATGAAGAAGGCAGGTTTTGAAAGTTCTACCAGATGCAGATATAACTTTTTTTTTTTTTTTTTTTTGAGAAGAGTCTGGCTCTGTTGCCCAGGCTGGAGTGCAGTGGCACGATCTCATTCACTGCAAGCTCCGCCTCCCGGGTTCACGCCATTCTCCTGCCTCAGCGTGCCGAGTAGCTGGAACTACAGGCGCCCGCCACCATGCCTGGCTAATTTTTTGCATTTTTAGTAGAGACGGGGTTTCACCATGTTAGCCAGGATGGTCTCGATCTCCTGACCTCGTGATCCGCCCGCCTCGGCCTCCCAAAGTGCTGGGATTACAGGCGTGAGCCACCGCGCTGGGCCAGATTATCGCTTTTTAATTTTTAAATCTGTAGCATTTATTTATTCACTGAAAGTAAATACCAAATGTACTGGGGCAAATTGTATGTAGAAATATTATTTTTCCAGGTGTGACCCTATGATTCTTCTCAGCCAAAATCTTTGTAAAATTATGGCACAACTAGCATAACTGTGGTTGTAATACTTATTTGAATTAAATGTTTTTCTTGTCTAACCTCCATATTTCATTGAGTATGTCCTTCTGCACACATCTTCATCCGTCTTTATGATTCAAACTTTTCTAGCAGAAATTACTTTTTATTTTCTCTGCAGAACATGTGGGGTTGGGTGGCTGATGAATAGTAACCTGGCAAATTCCTCTGCCTGGAAAAATATCATCCAACTGATGGGTGTGTGGTTGCAAAAGCGAGCTTTATAACTATTAGCTGAGCAACTCGGGATCATATTAAGGTAAAATTCATAAGGTGTATATCTTCTAATAAAATACTATCATTTAAAAAATGCTATTTATTCCATTAGAGATGCAGTTTTTGCTTTTGTTTTGAGACGGAGTCTCGCTCTGTCACCCAGGCTGGAGTGCAGTGGCGCGATCTCTGCTCACTGCAAGCTCCACCTCCCGGGTTCATGCCATTCTCCTGCCTCAGCCTCCCCAGTAGCTGGGACTACAGGCGCCTGCCACCACGCCTGGCTAATTTTTTTTTTCTGTATTTTTAGTAGAGACGGGGTTTCACCATGTTAGCCAGGATGAAGTTGATCTCCTGATCTCGTGATCCGCCAGCCTCAGCCGCATTACAGGTGTGAGCCACCACGCCCGGCCAAGATGAAGTTTTCTAATCCTCATAGTAATTATGACTATTTCATTCCCTCTCGAAAGATAACAACAACAAAAAAGAGAACGGAATGCCTTTTTCCAGCTGTCTACATTTGCTTTCTTCAACTTTGAAAACAGGCAAGCTAAAGTGACCTAGGATGGCCCTTACCTGTCTGTGATGCCGCAGGAGTCTATCTGGAGGTCCCTGAAACTCCCCAGCGCCCCCTGCTGTACTAAGATGGGATCCACCGCTTTGTCACCAATGGTGATGAGCCTTAGGCAGCCCTGAAACCCTCCCAGGGGGCTTTTACATCCAGAGCCAGAGCTGTTGCCCAGGCAGCCTGAATATGAAGACAAAAATAGGACAAAAGCAACAACTATGACAAAACTATTCCACAGTATTTACTATATGAAGACTGCTGCTCCCGCTTGTTTATGGACATCGGTATGATGCGATGAGCTTCACCATTCATTAGAGAGGTGAGAAGGGGCAAGGTTAGAACTGATCAAATTTAAGATAATACCTGGAATTCAGAATAAGAAATTGCGGGGGAAAATTCAGATCTAAAATTCCTATAACAGGAATTATTTCCCAACCAAGTGAAAAGAGGTTTGGCTTCTTTTGTGAAATCTCATCTAAGAAATAAGCATGCATTTTAGCATTATGTAGTATAAGTGAAAAAAATTAAAGTGGAGGTTAAATTAAAATAAATGAAATCATAGCCCAAATTTTATTTAGGATATGCTGTGAAGTGTGAAAAATGCTACCTGAAAATATAATTGTGTACTACCATTTATCTAAAATATGTTAAATATCTACCCTATAGCTGTTTTTGTGCGTTGCGATGTCTGTATATTTGGGAGTATTTAAAAACGTATTTTTTTATACTGACTGGGTGGAAATACCTAGATTTGCTTTTCTAGTAACACTTTCTTTGGTATTAGGTACTTTAGTCAAATATATAACTAAAGATTAAATTCTAATGTTAACAACAACACAAAAAGTAACAGGACATAACACACTGTTAGGGTATATAAGGATAAAAATTTGCAGTCCAGAATGTTCTAGGAATAGAAAGAGATAAAATAGACATTTGATTATTTCCAATATTAGAAGTTAAATATTAAAAATTTCACTACAATCGTCAGCTAATTTCACCTAAATTACAAATGGCAATGCTTATGACATCACTTCCCTTTACTATGTGGGCTTGTTTTGTGAAACAAGAACAGTACTTATAAGAAGCAGTGGTGAGTGCCTGACTTTGACGTAAGCAGTATTACTCCACACCAGTCCAAGCATATAGGAAAGTAGTGTCTTGAACTTACTCCCACCCTCTTGAGTTACAATATATAACCTAATAATGGAACTCTAAGTTTGAAAAGTAAGGAAAAGGATGAAAGTACACACTCTAGTTAAAGAAAACACAATAATTGTAAAATCTTATTATTTAAAGACAACTGTTTGTAGAAAGAGTCATATTAATTCAGAATAAAATCATAAGGCATTTGTCTACGTCAGGAGTCTGCAAAGGTTTTCTGTAAAACGCAGATAGTAAACACTTTTGGTTTTGTGGGTCACACCTGGTCTCTGTTGCATGTCCTTCTTGTTATAACCCTTTAAAAATACAAAGCAGGGCTGGGCGCGGTGGCTCACGCCTGTAAACCCAGCACTTTGGGAGGCCAAGGCGGGCGGATCATGAGGTCAGGAGATCGAGACCATCCTGGCTAATTCGGTGAAACCCCGTCTCTACTAAAAATACAAAAAAAAATTAGCTGGGCGTGGTGGCGGGTGCCTGTAGTCCCAGTTACTCGGGAAGCTGAGGCAGGAGAATGGCGTGAACCCAGCAGGCGGAGCTTGCAGTGAGCCGAGATGGTGCCACTGCACTCCAGCCTGGGCAACAGAGCGAGACTTCATCTCAAATAAAATAAAAATAAAAATAAAAATACAAAGCAATTATTCATTTGGGCTTATATAATATGCCATGGACCGTGATTTGCCTACCTCTGATCTAAATGAATACTTAATTTTAACATACAAATATGAAAGAGGAACCTCATTTCATAATGGTGTAATGCCAATGACAAGAGAAATTGAATTAGTAATTAATTTAATTGTATATTATGAAATTATATAGCTTTTAAAAATTTTATCCTTTGCCTTATTTTAAAAAAGAAGCCTGCTTATATTGATTCTGTAAGTATTGTCTCTTTCAAACTTGTGAGATATAATTTCTTATTTTCTTTTCCCAATCATTCAAATATTAGGTATTAAACCTAATATTTGGCATGACACTTTCAGTCCATGCAAATACCCTTTTCTCCAAAGATTATAGTAAATATACATCAATATTTATCACTAGAGGATTGAGTTTTCTTTACAGTGTTCATTAAAATGAAAAAAATGAAGTATAGAATTTGTACTTATGTGTTTTTCATTGACCTCTCTTTGACCTTATATTGTTAATCACTAGCACAATTTCAAAAAATAGTCAATGAAGATTCCTCTTACTGGAATAAATGAAGCACCTCTCAATGCCTGTACTCTTATTTCCTCCCTAAAAGTTCCATAAAAATTAAATGTTGTGTTTAGATTTCTATTTTAATAACTGAAGCTTTATCTCTTTAACTTTAATACTTTCTGCTTTAGATCCCTAAAGTAAAAGCCTCCCTCATATTAAGGCTTCTTTTTAGCTTATCGAAACCATACATAACCTCACAGACACTTGGAAGTTTAACATTTAACACCATATTTGTTTAAAAGTTTGAAGACTAAAATCTTTTATATTTTTATATTTACAAAAGAAATAAAAGTTTAAATGGTACAGCAGAACCTTCTGAAGAATGGGATAGAGAGTGAACTTTGTATAATTCTACTGCATCTCACTAATCATTAAGAAATAAACACATTAAGTTAAGAATTAAGAGGATTATTAATTCAATAAATATTTTCCAGTAATGAATTATAGGAATATCAACAGTTCTGCTAATCTTTCTTTCACCATGTGGTGTTTCCTGACACATAACTTAGGTTATCTTTTTTTTTTTTTTTTTGAGACCTGAGTCTCGTGCTGTCACCCAGGCTGCAGTGCAGTGGTGTGATCTCTGCTCACTGCAAGCTCCACCACCCAGGTTCACAGCATTCTCCTGCCTCAGCCTCCCGAGTGGCTGGGACTACAGACACGCACCATCATGCCCTGCTAATTTCTTTTTTTGTATTTTTTTTCAGTAGAGACGGGGTTTCACCATATTAGCCAGGATGGTTTTGATCTCCTGACCTCGTGATCCACCTGCCTCAGCCTCCCAAAATGCTGGGATTACAGGCATAAGCCACAGCACCCAGCCAGGTTATTCTTAAAAGAAAATGAATTCGATAACTCTGTTAGAAAAAAAAAAACTAAAATAAATCCAGGTGTCCCGCAAAAAGTTATGAAACTTTCAGGACAAATTCTAATCATAAAGTACTGCATGGATATGAAATCAAACAAATAAAGATATTAAGACCCATGAAAATTTTAGCCCGGTTATTTTCACTTGTGTAAGCATATGAGGTTGGCAAGAAAATTGTCACTGTGTGTTATTGCAGTGACAGACTTCAATGCAGTGTTGCCACAAGTTCTTGGTCTAGCAGATTCCTACAAGAAGGATGTGAGGACTGGCGACACAACAGTCAATTTTGTATTCTCAATATCATGGAAGGAGGCATGGCATTGAATAGCAGAAAGATTCCATAAAGGTAAGTTTAAAAGAATTTGACCTTCAGTCAATCTCTATTTCAGGCATGAATGCAAAAAAATGCAGGCTATATGCACAACCTGCAACCGTACAGAGTGCTGCTTGAAAAACACTTCTTCAAAAAGATGAAATCACAGACCAGAAAAAAAAGAATGGACAAATGACAGTATAGAAGATAGGTCTGCATCTGCAAATTAGACTTTCTCTTTCTTTCTCTCTCTCTCTCTTTCTTGACAGAGTCTCGCTCTGTTGCCAGGCTGGAGTGCAGTGGCACCATCTCGGTTCACTGCAACCTTTGCCTTCCAGGTTCAAGCAATTCTCCTGCCTCAGCCTACCCAGTAGCTGGGACTACAGGCTCCCGCCACCATGCCCAGCTAATCTTTGTATTTTTAGTAGAGACAAGGTTGCACCATGTTGGCCAGGCTGGTCTTGAATTACTAACCTCAGATGATCCACCCACCTCAGCCTCTCAAAGTGCTGGGATTACAGGTGAGAGCCACCGCGTCTGGCCTAAACTTTCTATTAAAATAAATCTAGTGAGATCCAGAAACCCACATCCACCAGTGATTTGTTCCAAGTCTCTCAAGGTTTCTTTGGTGCAAATAACATTTTCCATTTATCTGGCATCAGGAAATTGGTGGGTTTTTCTTCTTCTTCATTTTTTCATATTAACCTGGCTACCCATGGGTAGAGTCAGCAGGGCAACATTAAATTGAAAAAAAAAAAAAAAGATGCCCCCATACGATGGCCTGAGAGTGGAGACCAGTGACTCAAAAGCATAAGGCTGGTTCCAAAACGTCAAACTTCTGCAGTCTCAGCTTCAGGTGAGGAAGGCAGCTCTCACTCAGGGAAAGAGCCAAAGTTAGAAACAGTGCAGCTCTTGCCAGTCATTGACCTAAGGCCAGGCGGCTCCTCAGATGACCTGCAAATTGGGGACACACCACGGCATGCAGCAGGTGGGCTGAAGGATCCTGCTCCCAGTGGGTTTTTGCAGGGGACGTTCTGATTCCCTTAGCTGACGAATATGATCCTATGTTCCCTTATGATTATGAGAAAGTAGTGAAGTGCCAAAGAGAGGAACGACAGACACAGCAGGAGCTAGAAATATGAAAGGAAATAGAAGAAAGGGAAAAGAGGCCTGAAGACAGGCAAGAAATTAGGGGAGTTCTGATCAAGGCGACCAAATCCAGATTCTGATGAAGGGGAAGATTAGGAGGGAGAGAGGAGGAAAAGTAGTAGGGTGGAGCTGCCATTGCCCCTCCCACTTCTCTGGTAGAGAAAGACCAAGAGTCACCCCGAGATTTTCCTTATGAAGAGGATTCAAGACCTCAGTCACGGTCTTCCAAAGCAGCCATTCCTCCCCCAGTGAAGGAGGAACAGGACAGACTGAGATCTCCAAACCGTCCTAGCAGCTCCTTCCTCGCTAACGTGGTGGGAACGGTGGTGCACAACATCATGCAGAAGCGCAGCTTCCGGGAAGGCTGGGGCCTCGGGGAGCACCTGCAGGGGCTTCGAGACGCCTTTCCGGTGGGGAAGACTAGCAAATCAGGCGGCAAGATCATCGTGGGCGACGCCGCAGAGAAAGATGCATTGAAAGATCAGGTACAAATCCACTGACTGAAATACTTGAGTCCTACTAAGGTGGTCCTACTAAGGAACATGGTTGGTGAAGGGGAGGTGGAAGAAGACTTGGAAGTTGAAACCAGAGAAGAATGTGTGATGACATATTTTTCAGTTGATATGGTTTCCTATGAGACATAGCATCATTAAGGATAAAATAAGTGAAACTGAAAAGAGTATAGTTAATCTAGTTTTCATAATGAGTTCATTCTGTTATGTTTCTTTTTCTTTTCCATTGTCAATTTATATTGGCTCAGAGAAAACAGGCTTGATGGATAAAGTCCATGGTATTTCCCAATTTTGCCATGAAAAATATGGCAAAGTTAGAAAATGTGTGATATGTGAAATTCTTGGTGTCCCTGATGATGAAGCACAGACCTTTTTAGAATTTGAGAGTTGAGTCAGCAATTAAAGCTGTTGTTCACTTGAATAGAAGGTATTTTGGTGGACAGGTGGCAAGAGGATGTTTTTACATTTGTACAAATTCAGCATCTTGGATTTGGTGGAACAAGTTTGATTTTAAGAACTAGAGCATGAGTCATCTCTGGTGACCCTTAAATGACAAGCAGGCTGAGAAAAGAAGGAAAAAGGTCACAGCCTCCATGGCTGTTAGATACTGAGACTCTTGGAAGGACCTCCAAGATATACGTTGATTGATCCCTTTTCATTTTGTGGTTTTTAAATATTGTATAAAAATCCAAATCCTTTTTAATAAATAAATAAAACGTGCAGCTGACTAGTTTCAATCATTGGTAGATATTATACTGTAGGAATGAAGTTAGTGTCTGCAGCTGTACATATTCAGGCCATTCTAAATATATAAGCTAGTTAGGAAGAAAATACTGTGGATTTTATCCATCAAGCCTGTTTTCTCCAGGCCAGTATAAAACAAATGGAAAGGAAAAAGAAACATAATGAAATGAACTCATTATTAAAACTGGATTACAGGATTAATTTTAATCTTTTCAGTTTCACTTATTTGACTCTTAGTGATGCTATGTGTCATAGGAAACCGTATGAACAGAAATATCCCAAGAAGTAAATTTGCTTAGAAAACAGAAAAGGGCTTATTAGTCTCTTTCAGTGCACTGCACAGCATTCAAGAAGAATTTGGGTCATGTGGTCTTTAAATTACTAAAATGAGTAATGAATACTAGCGGAACCAAAGGCTGTTTCTATGTGAAGAAATGATCTATTTTGGGTTTATATACATCAGTAAAATTTAACAACCAGCTTATGCTGTTAAACATGGTGGTTAGAGCTGGTGTTTCCCGAAGTTTACTATACAGATGGGTAAATAAAGTTACAAAAGCACACACAAGGAATGCAAAATTCACTGGAAAAACTAGGTATGTTAAGAATATTTTAAAAACTAAATTTTAGGCTGGGCATGGTGGCTCATGCCTGTAATCCTGGCACTTTGGGAGGCTGAGGTGGATGGATCACCTCAGACCAACCTGAACAACGTGGCAAAACTCTGTCTCTACAAAATACGAAGAAAAACAACAACAACAAAAATTAGCTGGGTGTGGTGGTGCAGGCCTGCAGTCCCAGCTACTCCAGAGGCTGAGGTGGAAGAAGTGCTTGAGCTTGGAGAGGCAGAGGCTGCAGTGAGCTGTGATTGCTCCATTGCACTCCAGCCTGGGCAACAGAGTGACTCCCTGTCTAAAAAAAAAGCAAAACAATGAAACACCACCCCCCTAAATTTTATAAAGCAAATCTAAAAGCAAAAATGAAAATTGCCTAACAATAGCAAAATGGGACAGTAGAACTGATAAAATGTGGTATATTCATGTAACAATATATACATTCTTTTGAAAAATTAGCAATATTTTTAACTGTACATATATGATCTATTTCACAGTAAAAATGAATAAAATTATGATATGCATAAAAATAACTCAAAAGCATTTCTCACATTAGCATGTATATATTTATGGAAATGGGCTCTTGAATAATCTCACCTGTAGAATTTAAACCCTAAAGGTGATACTATATTTATACTTTGACAAATCATTTTCTATAATCAACTTTATTTAGTATCACTTAAAAAAATGAATAGTACTTTCATTCTTATCCCTTTTAGTGCTTCCTAAATATTTTACCTTTGAAATGATAGGTCTTGGATATATTGGCTTATTTGTTTTTTGTTATAAAATCTGTCATCTATAGCAAATGTTTTAATACAATTTGAGGCACATATGCACACCTCGGAATATGAGGAAAGAAAACAATCAGAAACTTTGCAGATTGACATTGTCTGTTTTCACAGTTGCTCTTGGAAAGTTTGCTCTGAAGGACTGTTAGAGTTTAGAAAATGAGTTTTATAATTTCCATGCTGACAGCCAATTTTAGGGATGAATTTTACCTTTTTTTTTTTTTTGAGACGGCGTCTCACTCTGTCACCCAGGCTGGAGTGCAGTGGCGCAGTCTCAGCTCACTGTATAAGCTCTGCCTCCCAGGTTCATGCCATTCTCCTGCCTCAGCCTCCTGGGAAGCTGGGACTACAGGCGCCCACCACCATGCCCAGCTAATTTTTTTTTTTTTGTATTTTTAGTAGAGACGGGGTTTCACCGTGTTAGCCAGGATGGTCTCGATCTCCTGACCTTGTGATCCAGCTGCCTAGGCCTCCCAAAGTGCTGGGATTACAGGCGTGAGCCACTGTGCCTGGCCGAATTTTACTTTCATATTGTGCTGTCTCCAACATAATTTTAAAAGGATTCTGGAAAAAAAAAAACAGTAAAATGCAAAACTATACTAATACTCTCAAGAAGCACCTCAAGCATTGATTAGCAAATGTATCTTATTATTTACAGAGTTAAATGACATTTCTAATGACCAAGGACTTTCTGAGTAAACATCCCTGGGCAGAAGATTTATTGCACCCTTCTGTGACCTCCCCACTCTGACTGCCCTCTCTTAGGCTGCAGTGTCTCTTGGCTGTACTCAATCATTGACTGAGCTGGCAAATATTCTGTTTATTATTGTCTAGGAAAGGCTGATGCGCTCCCTGACTTGGTAAAATGTTTCACTGCATCATTACTGGGCAATAAAAATAAGTTGAAATAACCGACTGAGTAAAACTATTAGTCACTTTGGGCAAAGCATGGCCTTTCTTCATGCGGCAGTGGGAAATCAATAAGATGCTCCAGAGGAGCCGAGGCTCTAGGGATACCTGTATGGTGCAATAAAACCAGCACATAAAGCAGTGGAAAAGGTAGTGGCACTCATTTCACACTGTTACAATTCCGTTGGGCACAATGATGAAGGGAAGCTTCATAAAGGGTGGTCTATTTAAAATCGGTTCCTGAGTGTGATCTTTTATTTAGGCCTATCTGGAAGACATGCATTTCAGTCCTTGATTTGTAGTCTTTTTTCAACAACCCCATGAAACAAAAGGGATCCAGCATGGTGATACTGTTTCATGGTGATACAACCCCATGAAACAAAAGGGATCCAGCATGATGATCCAGCATGGTGATACATAATGATACTGTGTTATTTACCTGGAATTTGGTAAGAGAGCAGATTTTCAATGACTTCACTCCCCTCTGCCATCAACATGGTAACTATGTGTGATGTGATGGATGTGTTAATCAACTTGACTGTGGTAATCAGAACACAGTGTATACCTATATCAAATCATCACATAGTATACCTTAAATATATAGAATTTTTATTTGTCAAATAAATATTTTAATTTTTTTGAAAAAGGGATTTATGGCAGTGTAGCAGCAGTGGGTGGTAAGGTCTGGGTCGGGTTCAGCCCCAGGTGGGATGTGGGGTCAGGGAGGAACCCAGTAAACAGCCCTGGCCTTGCAGGTGTAACAGTCTAGGCCTCTGTCTTCCTGAGGCGTTGTTCCTGCATGTTGTCCCAGCGTCTTCCTTCTCTGTGTGTCTCTGCACCTCCATTTCCATTTTTCATAAGGACACTGGTCATATTGGATTGGAGCTCACCTTAATGACCTCATTTTAACTTGATTACCTCTGCAAAGATCTTATCTCCAAACAAGGTCACATTCTGGAGTTCATATGAATTTGAGGGAAAACAATTCAATCCATAATATCATCTCTGAAATAAGGACAACTTTACTTATGCATATACAATTTGGGTTGTGGTTGCTGCGTATCTGTTTCAAATGGGTTATGGGCTCTTCTCACACTTTCAGGTCAAAGGGGACTTTGGAATCCATAGTGTATCTATGTATGCATATATGATCATGGATCAGCCTTCCCATTTCTGTCACTGTGTCCCTATATGGTTCATTATCATGTATGTTACTTCACTCGAAGGCCATACACAATCCAAACAAAACAAAACACAGAAACTGTGTTGGCTATTTTGACTTTCTGTTGAAACTATTCTCTTTGGTCATATATATATTTAAAAAATATTTTATATATATATATTTTTAAAAAATATTTTTTATATATATATATATATTTTTTTTTTTTCAAGTGATTACCCTGCCTCAGCCTCCCAAGTAGCTGGGATTACAGGCACCTGCCATCATGCCCGGCTAAATTTTTTTTGTGTGTGTATTTTTGTAGATACAGGGTTTCACCATTTTAGCCAGGCTCGTCTTCAACTCCTGATCTCAGGTGATCCGCCGGCCTCAGCCTCCCAGATTGCTGGGATTACAGGCGTGGGCCACCACCTAAGATATATGTATATATATATATGTAATCTTTTTCAGTATATTCTCAGGGTGTGTTTGAGGAAACCTTTTTTTTTTTTTTTTTTTTTTGGCCATTGTCCAAGGGTTTAGAACTGAATGGGAATGTCTGTAAATGGATCTGATGGAGGTTGGAATGTGTATCAGCTTTTAATCATCACTGTAACAAATTACTAAAACATTCTCTTTATTATCTCTCACTTTAGAAGTGTGGGAGGGCTGGACTGATGACTCTGCTTATAGTCTTACAAGGACAAAATCAAGGTGCTCTTGGGCTCCTTATGAAGGCCCTAGGGCAGAATGTGTGTCCAAGCACATACAGGTTAGAGCAGAATTCAACTTCTTGTAGTTGTAGGAGTGAGGTCCCAATTCATCACTGGCTGGTAGTTGGGGCCTCTCAGCAATGTCAGGCTGCCTGCGTTGCTCTTCATAGTGCCCAGTTTATTTTCTAAACCAGCAATGGTGCAGAGAGACATTCTCCTGCTTCTAGTTTCTCTGGCTTCCCCTCACCCACACCTCTCTTCTGTGTCTCTTCTGCCTCCAACCAGAGTTAAATCTCTTAAGTGCTCATGTGATTACATGGAGCCCACTGCATGAATCACGATCATCTCCTAAGGTCTGCAACCTTAATTACATCTGCAAAATCCCTTATGTGATGTAACATATTCAGTTTCCAGGGCATCTTGGAGAGTCATTCTCATTCTTGCTGCCACAAAATATTCCTCATTCCTTCATGAAATGTTGTTTGCTTTCATATATTTGTCTCTAGAGAAGCATCAGGTATTTTCTCAACATCACTTCATGTTAAAAACCCTCAACAAATGAGGCATTGGAGGAACATACTTCAACATAGTAAGAGCCACCTATGACAAACCCACAGCCAGCATCATACTGAACGGGCAAAAGATGTGAAGCATTCCCCTTGAAAACTGGGACAAGACAGGGATACCGTCTCTCATTATTCCTACCCAACATAGTACTGGATGTCCTCGCCAGAGCAATCAGGCAAGAGAGAGAAACAAAAGGCATCTAAACAGGAGAAAAAGAGGTCAAACTGTCTCTGTTTGCAGATGATATGATTCTGTACCTACAAAACCCCATCGTCTCTGCCCAAAAGCTTCTCGATCTGATAATCTCAGCAAAGTTTCAGGATACAAAATTAATGTACAAAAATTAGTAGCATTCCTATATACCAACAACATGCAAGCTGAGAGCCAAATCAAGAATGCAATCCTATTCGCAATGACCACAAAAAGAATAAACTACCTAGAAATACAGCTAACCAGGGAGATGAATGATCTCTACAAGAAGAATTACAAAATACTGCTCAAAGAAATCACAGATGACATACAAATGGAAAAACATTCCATAATCATGGATAGGAATAATAAATATGGTTTTTAACCATATTGGGCCATACTGCCCAAAGCAATTTATAGATTCAATGCTATTCCTATCAAATCACCAATGGCATTCTTCAAAGAACCAGTAAAAACTATTTTAAAATTAATATAGAACCAAAAAAGAGCCTGAATAGCCAAGGGAATCCAAGGCAAAAAGAACAAATCTGGAGGCATTTCGTTAGCCAACTTCAACCTCTACTACAAGGCTATAGTAACCAAAATAGCATAGTACTGGTACAAAAACAGATACACAGACCAATGGAACAGAATAGAGCGCCCAGAAATAATGCCACACACTTACAACCATTTGATCTTCAACAAAGTCGACAAAAACATGCAGTAGGGAAAGGACTCCCTATTCAATAAATGGTGCTGGGATAACTGGCTAACCATAAGCAGTTCCTAGACCCCTTCCTTACACCATATACAAAAATCAACTCAAGATGGATTAAAGAATAAAATGTAAAACCTGTCAGGTGCAGTGGCTCACGCCTATAATCCCAACACTTTGGGAGGGTGAGGTGGGAGGATAGCTTGAACCTCGGAGTTTGAGACAAGCCTGGGCAACATAACGAGACCTCGTCTCTACAAACAATAATAATAATAATAATAATAATAATAATAATAATAATAAATTAGCTGAATGTGGTGGCACGTGCCTGTAGTCCAGGCTAATCAGGAGGCTGAGGCGGGGGAACCTCTTAAGCCTGGGAGGTTGAGGCTGTATCGTGTCATTGCACTCCAGCCTGGGCAACAGGTGAGACTGACTCTAAAGTCTCAAAAAAAAAAAAAAAAGTAAAGCCTATAACTACAAAAATCCTGGAAGATAACCTAGGAAATATAGGAAATGCCATTTTGGACACAGGACATGGCAAAAATTTCATGACAAAGACACCGAAAGCAATTGCAACAAAAACAAAAGTTGACAAATGGGACCTAATTAAACTAAAGGGTTTCTGCACAGCAAAAGAAACTATCCACAGAGTAAACAGACAACCTACTGGAAGAAAATATTCACAAATTATGCATCTGACAAAGGTCTAATGTCTGGAATCTATAAGGAACTTAACAAGAAAGAAAAAAAAACCTACCCCATTAAAAAACGGGCAAAGGACGTGAACAGACACTTTTCAAAAGAAGACATACATGTGGCCAACAAGCATAAGAAAAACTCCTCAGCATCACTAGTCATGAGATAAATGCATATCAAAACCACAATGAGATACCATCTCACACCAGTCAGAATTGCTATTATTTAAAAGGCGAAAAATAACAGGTGCTGGTAAAGCTGTGGAGAAAAGGGAGTGCTTATACACTGCTGGGGGAATTATACATTAGTTCAGCCATTGCAGCAAGCAGTTTCGTGATTTCTCAAAGAACTTAAAGCAGAGCTTCCACTCGACCCAGCAACCCCATTGAGTACACACCCAAAGGAATAATAATCTTTCTACCATAAAGACACACAGACGTGCATGTTCATTCACAATAGCAATGACATAGAATCAACCTAAATACCCATCAACGGTAGCGTAAAGAAAATGTACATATATACCATGGAATACTATGTAGCCATAAAAAAAATGAGATAATGTCCTTTGTAGCAACATGGATGGAGCTGGAGGCCATTATCCAAAGTGAACTAACACAGGAACAGAAAACCAAATACCATGTATTCTGACTTATGAGTGGGAGCTTAGTATTGAGTACCCATGGACACAAAGAAGGGAACAATAGACACCACAGCCTACTTGAGGGTGGAGGGTGGGAGGAGGGTGAAGATCGAAAAACTACCTACTAGGTACTATGCTCATTACCTGGGTGATGGAATAATCTGTACCCCAAGCCCCCATTACATGCAATTTACCTATATAAAAAACCTGAACATGTATACCTCTGAACCTAAAATAAGTTTAAAAAAAAAAAGAGAAGCATCACGTATTTTCTGTAGGAAATGGGAATTATATATGAATATACATTGTCAAAGACTATAATGTTTGAGATTTTCTATTGCTTATTTCATTAGTTTCTTTCTGGACCTATTCCATCTGGGCTAGCAATTCTGAAAACAAAGTAGTGTGGATCAAACTCTGTCATCTGTTTCTGTCACACAGATTACAGCCCTCATCCTGAAGGAGGGACAGATTTCAGTCCCATCCTAATAAAAAAAAAATCTCTGTTCCGTTTACTGTTTTCTTCTACTTGGTTTGGAAAAATTTTGTTAGAGGCAATTGTCGATACCACATATGGCTGAGAGCAGGTATAGGAGGTATCCTGGTACTCATACTTGGAAACCCTTAATTTGGCATCATCCTCAGCACATGAAATTTCTCAGATCACTAACAATCTTGGACCGATGATGATTCCTTAAGCCAACTTCGTTCTTCTGAAAAGGCTGGCGGGCATGGCTGCATTTTTCTGAGGACTCCTATGTTATCATCCACTCAAGATACACCAAGGCATTAACTAATTTTAAAAATCTTGGCCTGGCACAGTGGCTCACGCCTGTAATCCCAGAACTTTGGGAGGCCGAGGCGGTCGAATCACAAGGTCAGGAGATCGAGACCATCCTGGCTAACATGGTGAAAACCCCGTCTCTACTAAAAATACAAAAAATTAGCCAGATGTGATGGTGGGTGCCTGTAGTCCCAGCTACTCAGGAGGCTGAGGCAGGAGAATGGCGTGAACCTGGCAGGGCAGAGCTTGCAGTGAGCCGAGATCGCGCCACTGCACTCCAGCCTGGGGGACACAGCGAGACTCCGCCTCAAAAAATAAAAATAAATAAATAAATAAAAATCTTAAGCTCTTCAGGTTTACTTTGTGTCTGCTTAGAGGAAAAAAGCATCCAACTACAGATATAAATGTATCCATTAATAAAAGGTAAATGGAGGCACAAAAGTTTATTTGAGCTAACAGTGATTCATGAATCACTGTTGAAGCAGCTTCAAATGGGAACTGGTTCAGGGACCCTTTCAAGGGAACAAAAAGGGACAGCTTCTGTAAGGTAAATATAGTAGCAAATTTTTCACTGGTTGTAGTTATACAATTGCCTTATTTGGTTGATCCTGCTGGAAAGTCTCTAGTTATATAAGTTAATTGGCTTCTGATTGGTTAGCCTTAAGTTTGACTTTTTTTATTTTTAAAGCCATTTACAAGAAATAGCTCAAGTTAAGTTTTGCTTATATTGGTAAATCAAGCAAAGTTAAGGCCACTTACAAGGCTTTGTCTGGTCAGAGATACCTCAGGCCATTTTAATTTTCTTTAACAATTTAAATACACCTGTGTGCCAGAGGACAGCTCAGTGAAGTCTTTGAATGTCTGTGGCTGTATATTTGGAAAAGTATATATTCTTTGCGAAATACCACAAATACTGATGAGGTAAAATGCAATGTATAGGACTGCATGTATATAACAAGTCTTCTATTACTAGATCTATATTTCTGTTTACATATAATTTTTATTACTAAGAAAGGCTGAATATATTTACCTTTCCAGTAAGAATTACAAGTAATTAAGTTACCTCAGTAACACTTCAGTGTTTAGGTACAGTGCAAGTGGCTCTCTGTATCTGTGTCCAGCATGGAATTTCGTACCTAGTTGAAAACTTTCTTACTTGAGAGTGAGTTTTCTTATCATATATGTGGTGATATGGGATGATAACAGAATGCTGTAATGTACAGGCATCCATGCCCCCATGTGATAAGTTTTCTCACATGATTGTTTCTCTTAACTGTGGTTTCCAGATATAAAAGCATAATCTTTGGATTCACAGGAGCATTCTAGAATACATAGCAGGGTTTTGCTGTTATTCCTAGTGGTTCTTTTAATTTAAAAAAATCCAAACTTCCTTTATAATCAAAAGATCCACTTGTTTCCATTTCTTTAGCTGTATGAGTTCTCATAGTCAGTTTGGGCTGCTATTAACAGAACCCCATGAACAGAGTGGCTTATACAACAAACAGTTATTTCTCTCAGTCTGGATGCTGGAAAGTCTAAGTCTGAGTTTGAGGCAAAGCAGATGCAGTGTCTGCTTCACAGACCACAGTCTTCGCCTTATAACTTCACATGGCAGGAAAGGCAAGGGAGTTCTCTTGGGCCTCTTTTATAAGGGCACTAATTCCATTCATTAGGGCTCCACCCTCCTGACTTAATTACCCTCCAAAGCCTCCTGACACCATGACTTTGGGGTCAGGATTTCAACATATGAATCTGGGGTGGGGAAGCAAACATTCAATACTTTGCACCAGTGTAACACCAATTATACTGGATTCATTTAATATGCTTGTCTCCTATTAATTAATATTTGTTTACATTGTCAATGTTTTGAAAGTACTTCATAATCAGTATGATATTTCCTATTACGCCTTCTCCATGTAAAAAATATTTATCCATCTATCTATAAACTGAGCTGTGTACTAATAATGATTCAATAGTATAGATTTAGATGTGGACTTAAATATATAAGTAATATTTTATGTAAGCCAATGACTTCAGACAGTACGATTTGTTTTGTTTTTATGAGCTAACTGTTAGAAGTATAAATGGATTTATCTGTTGTAGAGATATGACTATGATATTGTTTGAAAGTTTCCACTTATTTACTACATGTAGCTCAAATATATTTTTCTTTTAATGTTAAATGAAAATATGAAGTTATTTAAACAGCAAGTAAACTTTCTGCAGATACTTATTTTTGTATTGGGAAGAAAAATTGATTAAATGTTTCATGTTTTTTACAAACTCAAAAGGTATTAATTTCATGGCTAGAGATAAATTATTTCTTAGTATCAACTTGGTTTAAATTTGACTAGAGACTCAAAATGCAAAGCAATAAAGATAAAAAGTGGTTCCACTGCCAGTGTCATTCAGTTGCCTTCTCTTACCTCCAAAATAATAGGTGTCACCTGAATCAATGAGCACAGCCACCAGGGGCTGAACAGCTGTGTCATCGTCCACCACCACATTCATATGGCTCCACTTGGCAGAGAAGGACACAGAGTGCCACTGCCCATCGTTTAATCCAGCACCTGGAGGAAATACAATCAGTCAGAGACAACTCTAAATTATGAGCTCTGTAAACACTTGAAAACAATTTGATTCAGATCACTGAATAAGTCAGAGAAGAGTGGTATTTACATGTTCATGTATCACTGAAAAAAACAATAACCACCTATCTTTAATTTAAAAATTTCATTTATTACGAAAATAACACATGAATAAAAATATTACTCTTTCTGAAGAATCACTGTAACAAATTCTGGTAATTTGCTTAAAGTAACTAGAATTTAATTATCAAATATATACAGTAGAAGCCTTTACAATGGGATAAAAACAACACAGTTTGGTTTAATCTTCAAATGTAAAACTTACTTGCTTTACTGAATCTAACAAAAACATTTTACAAGAATCAAGAAAGTGAGTTGATAAAAAATATGTCAAGAATGATTGTGAAAAGGTTTTTTTAGAAAAAGTTGACACAAAATTGCACATACTTATGGGGTGTGACAGGATTTGAAATGGAAGATCACTGGATGTCTGGCTTACTGCACCCATTAATTAAGGTAAACCCTGCTTTCACTGTCTGAGCTATTTTACAGCCCTGTAAACTGTAGAAAACTGATAGTAATGCAAAATGACTTGTACCCATAGAAATACAAATGACTTGTGCCTAGCGAGGTGCAGTTGCTTACTGAACCATTTCATATCTGTCTGTAATTCATTTTGGCATTTCTTATCTGCCTGTATGTGTAGTACTTTGAATTATCCTCTGAACTGATTGTAACATCTTACTGGTTTCTTCATTGATTAGTTAAAATCTTTAACATATATTCGTGTGTTTCTGAATTAAATTATTATTATAGATATAATTATACTGTCTTTTAAAAGTTATTATTTGCTGGGCATGGTGGCTCATGCCTGTAATCCCAGCAGTTTGGGAGGCTGAGGCGGGCAGATCACCTGAGGTTGGGAGTTCGAGACCAGCCTGGCTAACATGGTGAAACCACATTTCTACTAAAAAACAAAAAATTAGCTGGGCATGGTGGCACTAGCCTATAGTCCCAGTCACTTCGGAGGCTGAGGCATAAGAATCACTTGAACCTGGGAGGTGGAGGTTGCAGTATGCTGAGATCACACCACTGTACTCCAGTCTGGGTGACAGAGTGAGACGCTGTCTCAAAAAGATAAAATAAAATAAAATAAAAGCGATTATTTAATATTTGATAAAAAATGCTTAGGAAAGAACTGGAGTTGTACTTTATATATGTACAATATTTTTATATATTTACACTCACATCCACATTATGATTCTTAGTAGTAATTATGAAATTAATCTTGTCAAATAATTTGGTAACATAATGAATTGTCTTTGATGGTAAATTTAAATGTTAAGGTATTTAAAATCACTAGAGGTATTCCGTGCTTTCTTTTACCTGATAATATGTCAAAGATACATGCCAATAAATGGGCTAAAAATAAGATTAGCTTCCTGAGGCCTATTAAATTAACTTTGCACTGAAGTTTAAAATTAGGCCAAGATTGAAACTATTTCAGAAGTTACATATATTATAATAAACTTTAGACTAACAGAAATTTTCCTATAAAGTTAACATTTTACTTGATAGTCTTGGGAAACCTGTAAATTATTAAAATGACTCTATGCTTCATTTATTTTTCTTCCTAACATGCATTTATGTGAAGTTAGTATATTATTAGCATTTCAAATGTAGTACTTCTTAAAAATTAAACATTAACATTAATATTTTAGCTTTCCCTTTTAACCTTCAGTGATGTATGAAACAGAAACAGAAGTAGTAATAAAGTGTAAGGAAATAAATTATTCTTTAAAATCAACCAAGATTCTGGATGTCTTCAATGTAAAACTAGGCATTGTCTAAACACAATCTGGAGGATTATATGATTCTGCAGGTTTCTGTGCCTTTTACCTTCTTTGAATTTTTTTTTTTTTTTTTTTTTTTTTTTGAGATGGAGTCTCGCTCTGTCACCCAGGCTGGAGTGCAGTGGTGCCATCTCGGTTCACTGCAAGCTCCGCCTTCCGGGTTCAAGCCATTCTCCTGCCTCAGCCTCCTGAGTAGCTAGGACTACAGGCACCCGCCACCACGCCTGGCTAATTTTTTTGTATTTTTAGTAGAGATGGGGTTTCACCGTTGTTAGCCAGGATGGTCTCAATCTCCTGACCTCGTGATCTGTATGCCTTGGCCTCCCAAATTGCTGGGATTACAGGCGTGAGCCACCACACCTGGCCCCTTCTTTGAATTCTTTACCACCCTGTGAATTGTAGAAAATTCAAAGCAGGCAAATGATTATTGTCCATAGACATGCAAATGAATTTTGTCTGGCAGAAATACAACTGAACTTCTTCCTGGTTCCTCTACCCCATCCCATGGAATAAGCCAGTTTTACATTATACACAAAATCATTGCAGCAGTAACATCTTACTGATTCCCTCATAAACTAATGAGTTAAACAAAATCTTTGACATGTTCTTTTTATAACTGCAAAAAGTGCCCTCTTTAAGAATATCTTTTGACAAATAAAAGCAGATCTTTGTATAACTGTTTTCATGTCTATCATCCACATTTGTTTTCTTTTTGTTTTCTATTAGGTTGTATTTGGCCTTTGGCCATAGTTTATGCACAAGAAAATCAGATACAGTAGAATCTGTAAATATTTCAATGAGAAGTTACTAAATTAATTGCCCACAACATAGATGTTATTTTAAACACATTTGATATGAAGATGATCTCTTGTTAACAACTACAACATTTTAACTGCAGAGGCAAAATATCATACTCACAAAGCCATGAGCTAAAGCAAAATCCTGATGAGATTTAAGAACTTTAATTATATTTAATTCTAGTTATTGTGCAACCCAGAACTGGATGAAGTGCTTGTTCAGCACTTCATTGAATCCAGAATATATGCAACTCATCAGCAGTAAAACTGAACCAACTACTGTAGGAAAAAAATTGAGGGCAGTCTTTGAAATGGGCAAAGGAGATTACTGGGTATCTTTTCAATGGAAAGATCAGCTGATATTACGGGATTGTAAACCATCATCTTGGACTAGTTACTTTACAGCTGTGTAGTGACAGAAGTTAACTTGCAGAACATTGATAATAATGCAAATAATGCTTGTCCATAGAGATGCAAAGTGTGTACAGAGAAGGGATTTGCCTTTCCCTTTGGATATTGAAAAGTTTAGCTAGTCGGCATCTCTTTTCTGACTATAAATGTGTGGTACTTCTTTAAACAGGCCTTACTGGTGTAAGGGTAAACACAAACCAAAACAAACAAAAGCTTTCTTAGTGCTAAAAGGGATACACACTGTCATTCACTTTTTTTCCTTAGAGCATTTCTTTCAGAAAACTTGTAATTGTACATCTTTAAAATCTTCAAACAAACAAACAAACAAACAAAATCTTATTTAGCCTCTTTCTTGTTTCCAGGAGTGTTTTTCTTGAGGACCTTGGAGACATTTCTTTGAAATGTAAACACCAAGAAAGGCAGTGCTCCTATCTCCTTGTCTCCGTGGGATTTTAACGTAGGTGCCTGGCTCCAAGTTGCAACTACCCACTTGTCAAAGAGACATGGAGTTTAGTTTTCCTTTGCATAAAGGAGTGTGCCTCCCCAATCACCAGGTGAATGTAAGATGGGCTGTGTAGCAAAAGGCGCTGTCAAGTCCTCTTACTTGAGGACAAGTTGTCCTTTATCTTTAGAACATGTATGTAATGGGTTGTATCTGCCTGGCTATATAAATGGATGAAATTTCTTTATCTTTGCAATCACATTAGTGATTGCCTGAAATGTACATCACAGTCTGGCTTAATACTTATTCCATAATAAGACTATTTCATTTCTACCTTGTGAAACTGATTCACTATGTTGGTAGGCAACTTTATCTTTACTTATTTCCCTAACACTGGTTCTCTCATCAATGAGTTAAAGAAAATCTCTGACATGTGTTCATTCTGTATCTGTGTGTGGGTCACGATTTTAACCTTTCTTGGAAAAAATCTTATTCGTGAGGAAATGGAAACTAGGTTTGCATTTCTAAAAGATAAAAAATATACGTCTCCTCTGAATATCTGTTTTATCTCCCCTGAAACACCTGTGTGAGGTGGACACAGATTCTAACACCCAGGACTTGCCTGATTGTTCCAGAAGTACTGAGATAAGGCCCCACCCTCCGAATTTCTTCACGGGTCTTGAAATCGTGCTTTCGTACCACAACATTTAATAGCAGTATAGTCACGTGTGCCTCTTACAGCCAAAAGGAATCTTTTTTTGAGTATGATATCCCCCTGGTCTCAAGCAGAAGTCAGCCTCTTCGTCTGTGCCTTTTTCTTTTTCAGATTACGCTTTTTTTTTTTTAAAGCCCCCATTTAGTTCCGATGCCAATTTAGGCACAATGTCAATTTAGGACCCAGTGCTCCTCCCATCTGCAAATCCAATCATCAGAATCCAGCAGCTCTGTAGTTAACAAACTTGCCCACATCTGACTGCATGTGAGATTAGTTCCCATCTATTGTAACTCAGTCTGGCTTCATGGGATTTGAGCCCCTAACCTAGCATTTGCCCAACAAAAACAGGCCCTGATGGGGAGTGCGGATGTGAGGGCCTGTGTGTGGGGTGGGCATTGTGCTAATAAAATCAGACTTCCTATTGTTCTCCCTGCAAAGGAGATCTGAGGTTTACCACTTCACAAGTGAAAACAGCTGAGGCTTAGGAGGCTTCGTGATTTACATTTCAGAAGGGCAGTAAGTGGAGGAGCTGAGATTCTTCCAGGGTGCCCGGCTATCCCAGAAAACGAATCAGCCATCAATGAAAGAATAAGAACTCTTGGTATTTGCCGGGCATCTTTCCCTGTAAAGTGATAGTTATCAATTGCCTACTGTGTATAGAATATTTGTGCACAGACCCTGAGCGGCAGGGCGGAGAAGGGAAAGGAGAAGGAGGACAGGAGAGGAATGTGCCTCTAGGTATTGTCTGTTCCATGAGGTCCTGACCCTAGTTCTTTGGGATGGAGGCTGGTATATGTTTGTCAGGAAATGGAGCTCAAGGGTATTCCTTGTATATGGGAAGGTACATCTGCAGAAATATGCATTTCATATTTCTCATATATAGTCATTTTGGTCAAAAGAACACTTTAGTGGCAGCGGGGTGTACCACACAGAACAGTCTAAAAGGAAGCAGCAATCTGTTCCTCTAGTGGGGGCATGGAGCATCTCACTGCCTCACTCACTCACTAATTACCAAATGATTTCCGTGTGGATATGTCAGGTTTATGGGAATACAACTCTTACCTGCTGTGACATTCCTTGGTGACTGTCCCGCCTGGAAGAGACTCAGTTTGAGCTTGCCATCCTTAAGAAAGAGGACGAAACTCCCTGAACCACGTTGAAGTTCGCCGAAAAGCAAATGTCCTGCTCTGTTCCACGTTCAAAATTGAAAAGTGACAGACACTTTGTCCTCCCCAGAGTTGCCTGGCAGAGCCAGATAACTCCTGGAGCTCAGAAAAGTCACAGGGACAGTCTGTGGCTGTGGACATGAGAAGGACACATTTCCCTATAAATAAAACAAAAGAGCACATTGAGCAGCCTTACAGGTGGTGCTTCTATCTAATTAAAGCCAGATTTTACGAAGACGTACAAGGCTTTTTATCAATCCAGGATTAGTCTGCCTGCTAAAGCTGAAATCTATGACATTTATCTTCTCTTTCAACATAAGTATTATTATAATTGGGCAGACATCCATGTGGCTTTCTGTATGTGTGTGAGAAATTCTCCACTTCTCTACTTCTCAGCATTAGTAAAGGAGTCTCAATATAATTTTAGTTCAACAGGAGTTTAATCTATGCCAGCTATTTTCCAGGCCCTGTGCTAGCCCTGAGGATACAGCAAATAACAGGACATTTTCATACTCAGTCTTTCTCCTGAGCAACATTTGGTCTTCTCTACACAATCCTCAAAATCTCTATTGAACCAGCTTACTATTTTACTGGTTCCCTCATTAACGAATTGACTAAATCTTTGACACATGCTTATTTGATATTTGTATTGGTCATATTTTTAGCTGTTGGAAAGTTATATTTGACAGCCTTTCAAATGGTTTTCAGATCTAATAGTTATATACAATGTTTGCATATAGTATTTTTAGCATGAAAACATTGATGTTTTTATATAGTCAATTATGTCTATATTGTATTTTACAGCTTCTGAGTTTCCAATCTTCGTTAAGAAAGTTTCATACTACCCTAGGTCCTACATACAACCTCATAGATTTTCTTTAAGATTGTTGTTTGTTTCTCATCCTCTTTAATTTACATATTCTTAGTGTGTATAAGATAGTGATCATGCTTATTTTCTGCCTTATGGACACTTGTTTGTTCCGGCAGAATTTCAGAAATAATTCATCCCTGTTCCACTGAATTGAGCCACATTCCTTGTTACTAACAACTTTGCACATAAACTGGGATCTTTCTGAGATCTTGACTGTTCTACTGACTTCTCTGTTCCTATCCACTACCATACTGATTCTAGTATAGAAGCTTTTAGCATGCTTTAATATCTGGTAAGTCAACATCTTACTAGGTTTTTAAATGGTTTTTGTTTGTTTGTTTGTTTTGCTTTGTTTGGCTGGTGAAAGGAATAAGCAATTCTTGGGCATTATTCACACATAGGAATTTCAGTTCCAGAGAAAAACCACAGTAATTCTGATTTTACTTGGAATTTCCATGGATTTATTTCTAATATACTATAAATGATTTTAGAAAAAGAATGTTACTGGAGCAGGACAGCTCATCTAGGGTAGTGGCTCTCAAACCTAGCTAAACAGTCGAATCACCAGAAGGGCTCTTAAAATCCAGATACAGACCATTTAAAATCCCGATCTCTGGAGGTGGAGCCAGGTAAAGGTATCTTTTGAATCTCCTCTGGTGACTCCAAGATAAAGCCAAGTTTAAGAACCACACTGATCCAGTGGTAAAACAATTTTCAAAACAGAATCACATGTTTAAAAAATTTTGTCCCAACATACTTTAGAAATGGATATAATTCAGTTATCATTTTATAATAATCTTTAATACACATTCTAACTGTATACATCAATCAGAACATTTCTTCTTGACTATTTTTGTAATTCTGCTAAATGGAAAACAGTTTTCATGACAAGAAAACATTTGCAGAAGAAAATTTAAAAAAGAAAACATTTGCTGTAACGAACTAAATACCAAAAGCTTACAACTAATTGGCGCTGATCCGTAGTACACATGTAATCACTGGACTATTACATATTTTTTATCTTTTTATCAGCTGTATATTTCTTGACCTCATCATTTAGGTGGGTAGCTGCCTGCTACAACAGAGAAGCAGGGCTTCTTGCCACAGAGGAGTGCTTGTTAGTTGACTAATGAATTCTGGCAACTGATTTTCCCAAGAAAATACATTTTTAAATGTTTTCCTTTTATATATTGGAACAACTATTTTCCTGTTTTTATACAGAACACATAGAATTGTAGTAATTCTTAAAATGGAATTCCCATAATTAACATTATATATCCATATGCACAATTTGGAATGAATTGTCTTTTTGTTTTTGTGTGAAACTTACACATTTTAATAACCTCATTCAATGTAATTAGTAAATAGTTTTCTTGAGGATGATGTCCAGAACCCAGAGACACCAGCTTAACTGTGGTTCTCCTTATTGGCTATACTCAATAATTCCATCAGTGAACCCATCAGTAATTCAGAATAACATGGAATGTATATGAAAACCTGTGTCTATTGTCCTCAAATAGTCTTGTCTCTTTGTGTCATAAGGCCCAACTCACTCTTCCTCACTTCAATGACAGTGTCTTTGGAAATAGCCCCATAGAAGTTAGGGTGAGGAGGAGGGATTCTTCTGAACACCAAGGACTGGCAGATAAAAGGTAGCTTAATATTCAGAACGTGTTAGGTCAGGCTTCTTGACACGGATGCCCATTGGCCAAACCCATCTTTGTATCTGTATCTGAGTAACGCATCTCCAACAAAGCCAACTTCAATAACCAGGTCTTTTTTCTTTTTCCTGTTGAGCAGCACTTAAATGTCAGTTTCTCCATGGACAGAAACTTTAGGTAGAGGGCTGTTCCATTTATCTCCTTCCTCTTTTCATTTCTTTTTCATCTTGTCAAAGGAAACTGCGCTCTGTGGAGCCTTGTTATCACTCTTCCCTTTGGTGTTTCCTTTTTCATGTATCTTGATGGTATTTTTCATTTTTATGATCTCAGCAGGGTGCTGTTCATAGTAAAACTTAGACTTCAAACCCAACTTTTTTTTTTTTTCTCCTTTACCTTCTTGGAAAGTTCATGGGCTTCACAGCTGTTTTTCCCCTTTTCTCATGCTAACCTAAGTGATGTATTCATTGTGTGGTCTGGTGACACACAGTCAGAGATATTTTCAGGTTTTGGTCCTGCAACCCATGAGCCAACTCCTCCAGCACATAACAGGAAAGAAAACATGTTTCCAACAATACAAATAAATATTCCCATGATGTGCTGCTGAGATACACTGACAACTAAACATGAGCTTTCCCTTTAACCCAACTTAGATATTTCAAACTTTAAACATTGAAAGAAGTTTATTAACTGATTTGGAAGTATTTCCAGTTGATTAGGGAATAGATCATTAGGGACTGCCATTGCAAAATGATTGGTCTCCTGTGGATAACAACACCAAAAACACGTGAGACATATGAATTCTGATTTCCATGTAAAAATAGAAAGTTACTTTATTTCATATAAAAATGAAACAATGATGTCCCATGAGGCATATTTACTTTATAACTTTTTATGCATAATAAAAATTACTATATTAGGCTGGGTAAGGTGGCTCATGCCTGTAATCCCAGCATTTTGGGAGGCCGAGGCGAGTGTATCGTCTGAGGTCAGGAGTTTGAGACCAGCCTGGCCAATGTGGCAAAACCCTGTCTGTACTAAAAAAAATTAGCCAGGTGTGGTGGCACACACCTGTAGTCCCAGCTACTCAGGAGGCTGAGGCAGGAGAATGGCTTGAACCCAGGAGGCAGAGGTTGCAGTGAGCCAAGACTGTACCGCTGCACTCCAGCCTGGGCAACAGAGCAAGACTGCATCTCAAAACAAAAACAAAAACAAAAACAAAAAAAGTGCGCCTGTGGTCCTATCACTTTGGGAGGCCAAGGTGGGCAGATCATGAGGTTGGGAAATCGAGACCATCCTGGCTAACATGGTGAAACCCCGTCTCTACTAAAAATACAAAAAGCCGGGCATGCTGGTGGGCACCTGTAGTCCCAGGTACTCGGGAGGCTGAGGCGGGAGAATGGCGTGAACCCAGGAGGCAGAGCTTGCAGTGAGCCAAGATCGTGCCACTGCACTCCAGTCTGGGTGACAGAGTGAGACTCCGTCTCAAAAAAAAAAAAAAAAAAAAAAAAAAAAATTGGCCAGGCCCGGTGGCTCACACCTGTAATCCCAGCACTTTGGGAGGCCGAGGCAGGCAGATCACCTGAGGTCAGGAATTCGAGACTAGCCTGGCCAACATGGCGAAACCCCGTCTCTACTAAAAGTACAAAAATTAGCTGGGCATGGTGGCGGGCGCCTGTAATTCCAGCTACTCAGGAGGCTGAGGCAGGAGAATTGCTTGAACCTGGGAGGCGTAAGCTGCAGTAAGCTGAGATTGCGCCGCTGCACTCCAACCTGGGAGACAAGAGAGAGACTCTGTCTCAAAAAAATAAATAAATAAATAAAACTAAATTACTATATTACATGGGCAGCTGTTAAAGTAAGAACTGATTCTTAAAATATTAGATGAAATGGAGACTTCACATGAATAATTTTTAAATGCAAAAAATAAAATGTCCTTTTTTCTTTCCTTCCCATTAGGCTTCCTTACCATCATGAGGATCTGTGGTTTGTGTTTCTTGGCTAATTCGGTAACATCCACTCCATTATAATAAAGATTTTCTAAACACCCATGAAAGCTTTTACGTGTGAATGCCCGCGATCTTCCGGGTGTCGGAATTCCCCCAAAGCTGATCTTAGAAAGAAAAATGACATAAATAACATTGTTTAGTGATTTTCTGATGGTACGTGTTTAAAGCATTTATAAATTAATAGGTCTAGTACTAATTGTCACAAATCCATTCCCATTATCTTATATTTGCATGCTTGCTTATTCCAAATGAAGTGTTCTATCATAATGGCAGCTGTTAATACCTTTATTTCTGGCACCACACAGTTTTGAACAAACTTAAAAGGAAGAAGTCAACACACATTTTCTGCCACGTTGAAATTTTCAGCCATGTAGTTAAATTTACCCTTTGTGGGTCATATGATCTCTTTTGCAGCACTCAACTCTGACACGAAGTACCAATGTGGCCACGGACAACACATAAAGAAAGAGAATATGTTCCAATAAAACCTTCTCTTTTGAACAAAAACAGGCTTTGTATTTTTTTAATTAAAAAATGTCCAAACTTGGCCTGATGCCCAGTTTGCCAACCTCTGCATTAGATATTATCTTTTGCTATTACATGGTTAAATTAAAGTAATAAAACTGAATAATCCAGTATAGGACTAGGATCTTCAGTTTAATATTATATGCCAAAGCCACTTATGCCAGTAAATATCACAGTTTTTCTGGTTTGTTCTGATCCTTCATACACTTTAAGGTGTCCTGTGAAGGACTGGAAGAATAGATGCTATTTAACAGTGTAGCTTAGATACATATGGGCAATGGGTTGCAAAAAGCATTAATGACTTAAAAAATATCAGGATATTATTTATATGTGAGCATCTGACTTTCTTGTTATTTAATAAATCTATTGGTGTTTATCTTGTTAACTTCTCAAAGTGATCCTAAATAATGCTATGTTGGTTAGGATTGCACCAAGACAAGAAAAAAAATCCCCCAGGAATCTGCATAGTCAAACAACAAGTGTAATATACCAGATGAAATTTCAAATGAAATATATTCAAATGAGTACATTTAATAACAATGCTACCTTGGTATTTCTGCATTTGTGGATTTCCTAACACTGACTGTTTACTTCTTTTCAAGGTGGAAAAGTTGATCTATTATAATAAACTGACCTATTAGAAGGCATAAACAGTTTCATAGTACCGGGACAGACATACCTATTACTATTAGTCAACTTAGTTATGAATTACTATAAAATGGCATTTCTCTATGCAGCTACCTTATTTTTCAGGTTATATTTAATTTAAACTATATATCTATAATAACCTCAAAATTAAGATCCAAGTTACTGGAATCTCCCTTTGCTTGGAAATGATGAGTGTGTTTGTCCACAGTGAAGTTGACCTGCGTGTGGAGGAGCTCGATGAGGACGGAATGCCAGTGCTGGTCATCCAGCAGGCTGCCCAGGGTGAGGGTCACAGGAGCAATAGTGGAAGGCAGCTTAGCATTGCCTTAAAAGGAGAAGGAAAAAAACAGTTATTTCTGTTCAAAATCACGGCTTCCCTTTTTTAGTTGAGCATCACAGTTTGCATCCAACTTTCCATCTTACAGAGTTGTTTTCTCACTTTCTCCCTATCTTGAACACAATAACCTTACCCTGTTTTTATTTTTTTAAGTTCAATTCTACACTTTGTTGAAATTTTTCTTAGTATTTTTTCTATTACTCATGACATTTGGATTTACATTGCAAATATTTTCTTTCTTAGAACCTCATTATCAGCATTATCTCATAATTTTATAATGATGTATTGTCTTTATGATATGGATAATCATATATTACATATATATTATACACACATATGGTGATCTTGCACAGTTTGTCAAAATATATGCTGTTTACAGAAATCATACTTAGGATATGTATTGCATGCATCTGGTAGTAATGCTCTTAAACTTTCATTTACATTTGTTCATTGCAGTTCTACTTTGCACTTACTGTCCCAGAGTAACTATCACTTGTGTATTTTTTATTTCTTAAAGGTGTTCTGGTTTAGATGATGAATTATATGGTCATTTTATCTAACTGTGAAAAGACTGAGTACCAACAAATGTAAACAGATTTTTTTTAACTACTGGTATAAAGTTCAAGTATTTTTTTACCTGAATTAAGAAAAAAGACAAGCTTTCTTTTAATTAATTCCAGAGTAATGTGATTTCCATGTTGTCCTTCTCTGTGAAGTAGAATTCCATTGCTCTGCATGGCTTTAAATTTCAAAGAAATAACATCTCTTATTGGTTTTAAAGGTTTTTTATCAAGTGTATACAGCAGAGCACTTTGTCCATCAAAATAAACCACCTCAGATTCTAGGAAAGAAGATATTAAAAAGCAATTCTAAATATAAATATGCCATACAGTAGCACATTGAAAATGTGTGCATCCATATGCCACACCACACACACATAGACACACATTGTATTTCTAAGCCATTCACTGAAGGAAACAACTGACAATAATATATTTTCTGGTGGCATCAGGAGTTGATATATGTAATACCCACTGTTAGATTTTTCTAACATTTTCTCAAACTTCATCATCTAGAAATGCTTTTATTAATCTACTCCCAATGGCTCTTATCTTTAGAGCAGCCCATTTCTTCTCATTCTGTTTGATTAAAAACACTCAGGAAAGAAGTCATATTTCACTACATAAATTATTTATTTTAAGGTCACTCTTATATTAAATATCAGTGTCACTCAATTTAAATACCTTTGTTCATTCCCAGTAGCTTTGGCTTCTCTTAATTCTTACACATGTACCTACTTTACTAAAGATTTTGTCTGTAAAGATACAGAAACACATATCATACTTATTAATTACTGCTTTAGACATGTAATAAATGTATTTTAAATGAGCTGACATGTAATATTTTTCTCAACCCTCAGCTAATGGTACTGCTAATGGGCACTGCAATGTGTCAACTTGGCTAGGCCATGGTAAACAGCTTTTGGTCAAACACTAGTCTTGATGTTGCAGTGCAGGTATTTTTTAGAGGTAACCAATATTAAATCAGTAAACATTGAGTAAAGCAGGTTAAACTCTATAACGTGGGTGGGCCTCATCCAATCAGTTGAAGGCTGTAAGAGAAAGAAAGAAAACTGAAGTTCTCTAGGAAAGAAGGAATTTTGCCTCCAGACAACCTCTGGACTCCAGCTGCAATATCACCTCTTACCTAGGACTTGCCAGTCCTTACAATCAGGTAAGCCAATTCCTTAAAACTCTCTCTCTCTCTCTACACACACACACACATACACACACACACACACACACACACAGGCACACAGACATCCTATTGGTTCTGTTTCTCTGGAGAGCCCTGACTGACAAAGGCACAGAGGTTTTGTTTTCTTGGATGCTTTGTTGAGAGAGCATGGCCTTAACACCTCTGTTTTGGTTCTTCCTGCTGTAGCTTGTCAGAACTCCAATGCTGCCACACTCTCTCAGCACTCTGTCAGGGTCTTATAAATTCACTATAAATGTCACATATGTTCAGCTCATCAAAAAACAAGTTGTTTCATTTTATCAGTAATATAAAATAATATTTGATAATATTTGTCAAAATCACATGAAGAAATTAATATTACCCAGAAAATCTCTTCTTTTTAAAAGTAAAAAGAAAAATAAGCAATTGTCCTTTGAAAAATATATTTATTTAATAAATGAAGATGCATGAAAACCTAGTGAAATATGAAACTATTTGAAGCTGATGAGCTGATGTCATTCAAGCCAATAAGATGGCATTGTTTAATTATATTTAATTTCACAAAAATATTACTAGTACTTTTTGCATGGCTATCCATTTCATTCACAGTATCTGAAATACATATAATAAACTGCACTTCAAAAGTTCTCCATTTTATGTATCATTTTAAAATTTAGAAGTTTGATTTTCTCACATTGGGTTAATGTACTTACAAGGAATTAATGTATCAAGTGCATGATGAATAAGCACATTCTGAGTAAAATATGTGTAAATTAAACAATTATTCCTTGTTACATAACTTATTATGTGTTCATGATAAAAACAAAACTCTCTGTCAAATGTAAATGAAGACATCTAAGATTATTATTCCCTGGCCATGAACTAAGGGAAACTTGAAAAAGATTGACTACAGACTTTCACATTTTTAGCACTTCCCTTATACTTATAATCATGTCTTTATTTGTTGCTTAAAGAAAATGCTAATATTTGAGCTATTTTTTTTTAGTTGACTAACAAAGTTTTCTTCCCGAAAAGGTTTTTTCTGGATTATTGCAACCTATACATTTCTTTTTCTCATTCTATGTTTACTATTACTCTCCAACAGCAGTATTGATCTTCTAAGGCATGTGAAGTACAGTTCCTGGAATGTTTCCCTCAGGCAAATAGAATAGTAAAAAACTTATCAAGTAAAAGAGACATAAAGCAATGACCTTGAAACTCTTTTGTTCTTTAGCTAATACCTTGATTTTTTCTTTATTGTAATCGCTAGTGCTTGTATCTAGAAATTTAAGAATATACTTATAGCTCATTATGCATATTTTAAAATAAAAGCAGATTAATGAATTGTAAATCCAAACTTTCTAAAAATCATAAAACATTCTATGATTTATGAAGTCAATACATAAAAATATGAAACAAAAAATGATGTTTGGGATGGAAAGCATTGAGTTCAATAAGTCAACAGTAATGAGCCCACCAAGATCAGCACTGGAGAGGGACAACTCCCATGTAGTCCCTCTTGAATAAGATCCTCCCACTGGAGAAGCAAAATTTCAAGTCTTGGTCTTTAGAAGTAATGCTAAAAGGTAAACTCTCTTCTCACTTGTCCACAAAAGTCATACTTTTAGCATTTTAAAACACTTGCAAGAGCAAAGAAAAGTTCTCCCAGCTGGTCAGGTGCAGTGGCTCATGCTTGTAATCCCAGCCCTTTGGGAGGCTGACGCGGGCAGATCACTTGGGCCCAAGAGTTCGAGACCAGCCTGGGCAGCATGGCAAGACTGGTCGCACTTGCTTATATTCCCAGCTACTTGGAAGGGGGAGGTGGGAGGATCGCTTGAGCTCGGGAGGTGGAGGCTGCAGTGAGCAGTGCTTGTGTCACTGCACCCCAGCCTGGGCAACACAGCAAGACCCCATTTCAAGAAAGAACAGTTCTACCTAGCCATAATCAATGCAAATATTCCCCTACAATATATATTTGAATAATACACTAAAATAAAATAATTCCAGTAACACATTTAATATAATCTTTTCTCAGAAATCTGTTGGAAAAAATCCTTTGTATGAAATTCAATTATATAAATAGGAAATGTAGTGGAATACTGGAAAATTAATGTCACTTATTATGTTTACGATAAAATCCAACGTTCCTCAAAGTTTTCAGAATGAAAGCCTTGCTATCCAAAATGAATAAAGAAAACTTAGCTTGTGGTTTAAAGCAGGAAGTGCTTTTCTAATTTTATATGAATTTAGTTTATAATTATTAGCTTTATTAATTAAGATTATAGTTTTGATTGCTGAATCTCGATCAGTATTAGCAATGTGGACCCCTGACATGTTAGTCTGTCACCATTAGATCAGGAGCCACATTTTCTAGTACACTAGAGTATATACTGTGTGGGCTTGAATCCTGACTCCATCCTGGAAAAGTTACATAGCCTCTCTCTGCCTCAGTCTACTCATAAGTGAAGTGAGAACACATACACTCCTCTCTCACAAGATCGTTGTGAGGGTTAAATGAGTTAGTATTTGTACTTTTACAACAGTGCTGGGCACATGGGGTACCTTCAGTGAACGACTGCTTCATTATTATTGTCAGGGCACTGGGCAGAAAAAGAGGTGGAAATGAGTTTAAAATAGCACATAGGGGATATATAGGAAAGTAGACAGCTTAAAATGATAGCAGATTTAATTTTTGAAGGACCTAGGAAATCTTCAGTTTCCACCAGGAAAAAGAGATTTACAACCATTCATCCACACTTACACAGCTCCTTCTCTGCCAGCCAGCTTGTTCCTGGGCTGACTCACTTCAATCACTGGTAACCTAAATCTTACTCAGAAGTATTAATATATCTATCTCATTTTCTTGTGTTAGAGGACCACGAGAGTTTTTAAATGATACTTGAAGATTATTGGTGCAATTATAATGTTTTTGTCACACTTCCTCAAAGAATACCGGAAAAGCTAAGGACAGATGTGTTCACAAAGTTCCCAAATACGAATTCTTGCAGATAAAGAACTTTGTCATACAAGGAAGAACTGTGTCAGAAGTAATTTTGCTAAAATGTGTTATGTCCTCATTCATACAGCTAATATTCACTGAAAGCCTTCCATATGCAGGTGAAAGATAAAAATGCAGAAGACAATGAATTACTTTTAAGGATCCCACAGTATGGAAAAGAGGACATATAATCCTGAAATATGATTGTTTCTGCCACATTCACAGTGATGCTTCTGTAAACAGGCATCTGGTCCAGAATGACTTCTAAGAAAGGATAAGGAAGGAGTCTACCTGCTTTAGACTCCTGCAAAGTATGACGCCTCTGAAAAGCTAAGACATAAGTAATTTTGAGTTGTTATTTCCTTTATTTCCTTACGCCATATTTTATCTTCACATTTTACTTTTATTAGAAACAGAGACTCACTCCGTTGCCCATGCTGTAGTGCAGTGGTACCTTCATAGCTCACTGCAGCCTTGAACTCCTGGGCTCAAGTGATCCTCCAGCCTCAGCCTCCCAAGTAGCTGGGATTATAGGCATGCACTACAATGCCTGGTTAATTTTTTACTTTTTTTCTAGAGATGGGGGTCTCACTATGATGCCAAGGCTGGTCTTGAATTCCTGGGCTCAAGCAATCTGCCCACCTCAGCTTCACAAAGTGTTGGGATTACAGGCATAAGCCACCCCACCTGGCCTACTTTCACATTTTTCACACCCAGAATGTACTCTTAAATCTGGCTTCTCATTACTACTTTTCTACTTCTCACTGTCATTCTAAGCACAGGCATGTCTCATCCCCATCCTACCTTGTACTGCCTTTTCAGGGGAAACATCAACATTGAGAGGAAAACATTGCTTGAAAACAGCAAGATTCCATAGGGTGCAAACACTGATGTCTTACAAAAGAAAAAAAAAAAAAACACGATTCCACAGAAATTTTCTTAAAGTGTTCTATCAATCACCTTCACTCAGATTGACTAGGAGTGACCACTTGGAGACTTTAGAACGTGAGCCTCAACCAGACCAGGAATCAGGATTTCTGTGGTTGAGACCCAGGGGTTTGCATATTTAATAAGCTAACTAGGTAGCTGTGATGACACAAAGGCTTCAGGATGATTTATCAGGGATAATGGGCAAATTACAGAGGTTTACTCTCTAAATAAATTGAATATTAATTCCAATATGGGGTGAGGCACAGTGGCTCACACTGTAATCCTAGCACTTTAGGAGGCAAAGGCAGGTGTATCATTTGAGGTCAGGAGTTCAAGACCAGCCTGGGCAACATGGTAAAATTTCTACTAAAAATACAAAAAAATCAGCTGGGTGTAGTGGTGCATGCCTGTGATCTCAGCTACTCAGGAGGCTGAGGTGGGAGAATAGCTTGAACCCAGGAGGCAGAGGTTGCAGTGAGCCAGGATTGCTCCACTGCACTCCAGCCTGGGCAACAGAGAGAGACTCCCTCTCAAAAAAACAACAACAAAACCCACAATTGCCAATATGGAAACATAAATATCATTTTCATAGAGTTATAATTTATATTCAATAAATTTAAGGTTATAGTTCAATGAGTTTTAACAAATATATATACCTACGTTATTGCCAAAGAATCAAGGTGTAGGCAATTTCATATCAACTCACTAATTGCCATTTGCATCAAACTCCCAACACTGTCACCGAGACCCAGACCCAGACCCAGGAAACCAATGATCTACATTCCGTAACTACAGATTAGTTTTGTCAGTTCCAAAATTTCATAAAATTGTATCGTGTATGTGTTCTTTTGTGTCTGAGTTCCTTGCTAAGTGTAACATTTTTGAGATACACACATGCTGTTGCATATATCAACAGTCTGTTCTTTCTTATTGCTTGGGGTATTCAACTGTTTGACAACTTGTTTATCCATTTACCTGCTGATAGACATTTGAACTGTTTCCAGGTTTAAACTCTTATAAATAAAGCTGCTAGGAACATTCACACATACATCTTTATGTTGACATATGCATTCATTTCTGCTGGGTAAATACATGGGAGTGGAATTGCTGAGCTATATATTAAGTGTATATTTAGCTTAGAAGAATGCCAAATTGTTTTCCAAAGTGATAGTATCATTTTCACATTTCCCACCAGCAATGTATGAGAATTCCATATCTTTGCCAAACACTTGGTGTTTCCACCCTTTTTAATTTTAGCCTTTCTGCTAGGTGTATAGTGGTTTCTCATTGTGATTTTATTTCTCTAAAGACTAGTGATGATTCATTTTAATATAATAATAAGTTAGAATAGATGTATTGGGATTCCGTAGATCAATTCGGGGAGGATGATAAGAATATTGAATCCTGCAATCGATGAATACACAAAGCTTTCCTAGGAAATATTTGCCTTTATTCACTCACATATTTTCTTTCCTTCTGGGCATAATAAGAGGAACTTAGGGAAAACAGGCCTTGGTTCTGCATTCTCAGTAAAGGCCTTGATCTCTATCTTTAATTTTCATGCATGATCTTTCCTCTCTATTTCTTTTCTTTCCTCTCTCTTTTCTCCTTCTCCCATTTCCTGGTAAAGATAGTTGATTGCACAGAGTCTGGAATCCTCTGTGAGTAGGTTCACATTCCAATTCTTCAACTTACTTATTTCTGATGGACATGGATTTACTTTTTCATCTTATTTTGAGTTTCTATTTATTTTACTTTTTTATTACAAATTTTTATTTTTTTTGAGACAAGGTCTCACTCTGCCACGCAGGCTGGAGTACAGTGGCATGATCTTGGCTCACTGCAGCCTTGACCTCACTGGGATCAAGCGACCCTCACACCTCAGCCTACTGAGTAGCTGGGACTACAGGCACACACCACCATGTCCAGATAATTTTTGTATTTTTTGTAGAGATGGAGTTTTGCTGTGTTGCCCAGGCTGGGCAATCAAGTAATCTGCCTGCCTTGGCCTCCTAAAGTCCTGGGATTACAGGCATGAGCCACTGTGACCGGCTTTATTTATTTTTAAAAAATATTTATTGAAATTTAATTAGCACTTCAGTGTTTTACAGAAAAATAATTTTCCAAAATATTAAGTAGATTGTATTATAAACACATTATTATATGAAAAAATTATATACACTTTGTTTTCTTCAATACATTTCCCATGGCATTAAAAGAAATGCAGTTAGTTATATTTTCAGTTATGACAAGCAAACATTCAGAAGACTACACTTCCTACCAAGGACAAGTAGAAAATGTGTACCAAGTAAAGTTTAAATAATCTTCTTGAAAGTTTTAAAGATCTACTATGACTGCCAGGACTCAAGAATGTAAAGATCTTAGAAGACAAGCTCAGAACACTCTTTCTGCTTTTACCCTTGAAGCACTGGTCAACTCCCAAGGAGCAATGGGCAAGAGACAAGGTGGCCAAGCAGAAAGTGACAGGACAGCTATGAGGCTGGGTCACGAAGCAGGGGTCTCTGTAGACTCATCACAATTAGGAGTCAGATGGCAGAATTCAGAGATTTTCAAAAAAATGTTTTGGCAAAGGCCTTCAAATCTCAGTTGGGACTAGTGAAGCATTGTACTCCAGATATAAGATATCAACTAGGCCTCATGGGGACTGAGACGCTGCACTGAGTCAGTTAAATGCTGATTTGAATTAACAACTGTGCCTAATCTAGAAGCCTATCAGAGGCTGTGGTGGGGATTCACTGGGGGATCACTTTGTCTTCTCTAGCCTCTACAAATTTCTGTCCAACATGTCCAGAATTCAGCCAAAATTATCAGACATCAAAACGGAAACAAAAACCAGACAATGGAAAAGATCAAGAGATAATCCAGATATTGAAGTTAACGAAAAATCTTTAAAATAACTGTAATTAATATTTCCAGGAAAATAGAGAGCAAGATAAGGAGTTTCACTAGGATACATGAACAGAAATTCCCAAACTGAAAATCGCAATAACTAAAATTAATAGCTCACTGGCATATTCAACAACAGATTGGTCACAGCAGAAGATCTGATTAGTAGTATAGAAGATAAAGCAGTACACAATGTCTAGACTGCAGCATAAATAGAAAGAAAAGATGAAAGAGGAGAGGGAGAGAGAGAAGCAGGAGGAGGGAGAAAGAGAGAGACAAAGAAAGAAAATAAGATACAAACATCTCAGACAGATGTAATTGGAGTCTCAGAAAGGAGGAAAGGAAATGCGAGACAGAGGCAATATTTTGAAGAAGTAACAGTGAAGAATTACCCAATCTAATAATCAATGCACAGAAAAAAGAAATTTAGTGAAATCCAAAGAGGACAAATTCAGTGAAAACTAAAATAGCCACATCAAGGCAAAACTGCTGAAAATCAAAGACAAAGAATAAATTCTCAAAAGTAACCAGAAGAAAAATACACATTTCCCTTATAGGATAAAAATCAATTACCTATTGATTTCTTAATAAATATCATGAAAACAATAGAATGCCATCTTTAAAAGGCCGAAAGAAAATAACTACAGACCGTATTCTCCAGCAAGCTGAAACAGCCTTCAGAAGTTCACATAAAATAAAGACAATTTTCAAGCAAACAAAAGCTATATGACAATTTATTACCAGTAGAACTGGGCTAAGACAAATATTAAAAGGAGTCTTTCTAGCTGAAAGAATTTGATTCAGAAAGAGCATGAAAATGCAGAGAAAGTAAATATGTGAGTAGATTCAAGTGAATACTGATTGCAAACAAAATTATATTAAATTTTGTGATTAAAAATATATGTACACATATACACATGTATGTATGAAACTAAAATGTGTCAACATAGCACACATGGTGGGAAGAGTTTAACTAAACTAACATAAGTTGTACTTACATCCTAGTATTGTTTGGAAAGTGATAAAAGTAGTAGCTCAAGTACCTGGGGGAACAAAATTAGAACAGCAAACAATAGTGGAAAAACTGGAAAAATTAAACTTGATTAACCCAAAAGAAGAGGAGAGAAAAAGGAGTATAAAACAAGTGAACCAAATATAAAACAGAGAGTAACATGTCAGCTACAATTTCACATATGTCAGTAATTACATTTAATATAAGTGGACTAAATATAACAACTAAAACTCAATGATTTCCAGATTCGGTTTAAATAATAAAGAAAGAGTCCTTACATATGAAGACAAAAAGTTTGAAAGTAAAGAATGGAAAAAGTTATTCCATGAAAACAATAATCAGAAGAAATCCGGCATAGCTATACAGTACTATCATCAGAGAATGCAGACTTACATGCAGGAGGCATTATTAGAAATAAACAAGGATATTTCATAATTACAAAAAATCAACTTTAAGGGAGATAAAACAATTCCCAATCTATATGCATTTAATGAAACAGCTTCAAAATATGTAAAGCATGTATCTCTTTTCATTTTACTGGAATTCATAGTTCAGGCATGCTTATTAATGGTAGACACAAAGGAGGACAGTAGGTACACTGTAGAGTTGACTCTGCCTACCACTAGCCAAAGGAAGTCACTGGCTGGCTCAAAAATCAGGGGGCAGGGAAGCATACGCCACTCACAGGTACTGGCAAGGAACAGGTGCAGAATTGGTGCCAGTGATGCAAACTAGCACAGCGTGTATATATAAAAGTGATAAAACAATTAAAGGAACTTTACAGAGGTAGGTAGTTCTAACTTCATTAGAACACCAATGAAGAAATACAAACTTGGACCATCTCAGGAGTTATGAAAATTTCCCATGTCTCAAATTCTAATCAAGGACAGGTAAAATTTTGGAAGGGAGAAAATAAAATTTGCTTTTGTCCAGTCACTATTTGTTCTATTTGTTTTGTTTTACCGGAAACCTCCACTTGCCATCTGTTGTTCCTACAGAAAACAGTACAGCACTCAGTTAATCCAGATGAAGCTGCTAATATTCAACTGTATTTGATCTACAAAACTGGCAAATATATGGTTCAACCAATTATAAGTGAAGCTAGAATGATGAATAAGAAAAGGACTGATTGGTAATAGCATAGCTATGTAAGACAGTCTGAATGACATATAAAACTATTTGAAGACTAAGTTATAAGAAAATGTAACAGAAAATGCATGAATAAAGAATTACCTGTGAGTAATAAAAAATGATTTTCACTTGGGACATTATAAAAGAAATCTTCGTGAAAAGAACATTTTAGAATTCTGTTAATTATCTCGGCTGTGCTCCAAGTATTAAAATTTTAAAAAGGAATCCACCACTCCCAGACCCCCTCCCCCACCAAATTTTCCGCCACTAAGGGACCAAAAAAGTGGTGAACCAAGCTCTTCTTGGTTATTTATGAAGTCAACCTTGAATACTAACCATTTTCTTTTTTCTTCATGAATTATTGCCGTGACTTACAAAGGAATAGAAGCCCAATCTCAGTTTAACAGAAACATGAATCAGACAAAAGCCATGTTTGAGTGTTATCTAATGAAAATACTGAAACACTAGCATGGAGTGGAATGTAAGCCCTTAAAATCTGCACTAGCGGACTGGGAATTAAAGAGATGGAAAGGATACTAACCACTTGAGAAAACAACAAGAAGAGGACTGTTCTATTTTTTGCATTAATATCAAAGAAAGTGGAGTGATTTAAAGAACTCTGAAATTGAGGATAATTAAAGCTGGCATGATAAAAAGGAGGAAGGCACAGAATCAAAAACTAAATGTTTATATACAATACAATGCAGCTTGATGCTGTCTCTCTGAAAGTAGAAAAGAAGCTGCCGCCATCAATCAATATAGCAATATATCAAAACAAGTATCAATATAATGATCCTTTATGAAACCTCGGCAGTTATTATCCATCAAGAACATGGAATTGGTAGTCAGAGGACTGGAGTCCTCTCCCTGTCTCTGGTGACTATTTGTAGCTCCTGCACTGCCGGCCCTTGGTGTGGCTTCTCAGATTGCTCACTTGGAACATCTGGGTGTTAATAACTGCCTTTCTACTACATAAAGATGCATCAAATATCAGATGGAAGAATGGAAACATAACTGTAAAACCTTATATTCGCTATTTTTACTAGAGTTATTACAATTTTTAATACTACACTTTATAACAATATAATCTCCAAGATACCTGCCTTACCTGGATGGCTAGTATAAGAGAGAAATAAATATCTGAAATTTAGATTCATTATTCAGATTTTATTATCATCTGTCAGACTTTTTTTCTGAATTGCTTCATTCATTCATTCACTCAATGCAAAGCTATGGTGCACTTAGTATGTTCCTGGCTCTGTATTAGGTGCTGATGTTACAGCAATGAATGTACCTTACCCTAGTGTAGCCTGAAGGCTAATGAGGAAAAAGGAAATTAGGCCTCTAATAAGACAGATACAGATACATTATAAAAAGTGACTATAGCACATGAAGTCATACTATAGGCTTCCTGGGAACTTATAATGAGGAACCAAATGTAGAGTGAGGGCCTAGGAAGCATCATTTAAACTAAGATCCAAAAGAGGAAGAGTAAATAGCCAGTCAAGAACATAGGGAAGGAGCATTTCAAGCAGGGGAGACCACAGGCGTAAAGGCTTTGAGTCAGTAAAAAGCTGGATACAATTGACAGTGGACAGGTAGCAGGTGACGGCAGCAAGAGGTGGCACTGGAGAGTTATTCAGGGACAAGCTCCTTCAGGCCTTGCTGGGAGTCTGGATGTTGTTTTAGGAACAATGGAAAGCCACTGATGGTATTAAACAGGGACGTAATTGTATCAGTTCTGCATTTTTAAAAGGTAACTTGAGTTGCAGTGTGGAGAATATAATGTAGTCAGCTATGAACAGAGACAGAATGACCCAAACTTGGAAGGCAATTTCCATAATCTGTGGGACACCAAGTTTAGATTAAGTCGGTAGTAGAGCTAAAGAGAGCTGAAATCATGCAAGGTGTAATTTGGAAGGAAGAATACAGAATTTCGTGACTCACTGGACATGGAGGGCAAGAGAGATAGATGCGTCAAGGACTCATAGGGTTCTGGCCTAAGATTCTGGGAGTTCCCCTTTGTTCTTGAGAGATGCCCTCAAAGGCCTGGACAGGCAGTAGAGCATAGGGAATTTATTTTTCTGTCTAAGGCCTCTGGGAAACAATCCTAGTGTCTTGGGTGTGGCTTTAAGCATGTTTCAACAATCGAGTTTGAACAATCGAATGTGCATGTTTTTCCAGGAATCATCCTGATTATTGTGTGGACTAAAAACTGGAAAGATCAAGACCAGAGACAAATAGCTGATTTAGGAGGCTGGTGCTCATTTAGGCTAAACTGGAGGAAGAGAAAGAAATTCAAAACATTTAGGAGATAGAATCAGGTTTCAGTCAATAGGTGGCTGTTGGTATCATTTTATAAGATGGAAAACAAAGGAAAATGAGCAGATAGACAACTGAGTTTTAAGTGCTCACAGGGCCAGTGAAGAGAGGTTGGTACCAGAGGTTGGAACTCCTCAGAGTAGGTTGCGGATACGTCTATTTGGAAGTTATCAGCCACAGTGTGTAAATGCTACTGAAAACTCATGGAAGTGGATAAAAGACTCAGAGAGAGCTTGGGAGCAGGATAAAAGACCTACAACCAATCTGTGGATAATGTTAGCCTTTAAGGAGTGGCAAGAAGAGTAGCATGCAAAGGTGCATGGAAAACCAGGAGAATACAGCTGTCAAGAAGGGCCCGAGGCCATCTGTGCTCATGGCTTTATTCTGCAGTTGAGTAGCAACTCTGGGAGAACCTACAACCTATCCCCAGGCTAGAAGTGGAAATAGAAATAAATGCATAGAGTAAGCCAGGAGTCTGTGAAAACACACACAGTTTAAAGGAATAATGAATCTATTACTGTAAATGAAGTGTAGAAAAGCTAATAACACTAGGGCTGGGCAGTCCCAGCTACTCAGGAGGCTGAGGTAGAGGATCGATGGAGCCCAGGGGTGCACTATGATGATCAGGTGTCTGAACAAATTTTAGCATCAAATGGTGATCTCTCCGAGCGGAGGACCATCAGGTTGCTTAAGGAAGAGTGAACTAGCCCTGCTCCCAAATGAAGCAGGTCAAGACTCCCGTGCTGATCAGCAGTGGGATTGTGCCTGTAGCCACTGCACTCCAGCCTGGGCAACATAATGAGAACCTGCCTCTTAAAATAAAAAAAGATAAATTGATAAATACATAAATAAATAAATGGGAAGAGATGCTGCGTGGAAGGGATATTATAAGTCATTATAAGCAACGTTCTAGAAAACAAGCAGGGCAGTGGAAATACAAAGGAAAATACTGAAACTACCATTATTAACATAAGTCATAAAGGATTGTATTACTGTCAACAACAAAAATAAAATCACCATACTTGAACAATTATTCTTCTAAGGAAAAAAAGACAATGTAGATGTCCACTTGTTCTAATGAATTACTTTTAGCTAGTTAGCAGTGGTCACATATTATCTGTCTGCATGTTTGGGTTTTTTTACTAGTAGTCCCTTACAGCCAACAGCATGTGTTTACAGAAGTTAACGGTGCCAGCAGATTGCATGGCAGCTGCACCGCCCACCGGCCCTTCCTGGAATCAGGCACGGGGCTTTGATCTTCCTGGTACCAACCTCCAGCCCAAGGAACTGGAGTAATATCTCTTCATGAAGGAACATCAAGCTAATGGCAAATCGCCATCAAAGAGCATGTTCCACTTTGAAGTCAGTAAACCTGAAGTTGTTTCAGAGTAATGAGAGGAGAAGGTAACTTCACAGCATCAAAGAGAGATTCTAAATATCAGACATCTTAGCCATTGAAACAGAGAGCACAGTTATAGGTCCCAGAAAACACAGGGATGGAAGGAGATGAACAATAACAGGAAGAAAAAAGACCGTTGGTAAAGCAACATCATTATATTTAGCCCTGTAGAAATGTAAACACTAAAAAACAAGCAGAGTTAGGAAATGAACTGGGTTGTACAGGGGTTATGTAATAAAATGGAAATAATAGTATCTGAGACATTAAATGCTGCATGAATGACAGACGTTGTTATCATGCTTTAGAAAATTAATATTCTGCAGGGCTAAAGCTGTGAGTAGGCAGAGAATGGGAGTGACTGTGTGTAAATAGTGTGATATGAACATCCGGCCGGACCCAAATTGAAGCCACTTAAGACATTTCCATCCAGGCTGCTCTTTGACTTGTTCTCCAGTTTTATACAGGAGTATTTTTCAATTTTATTCCATTTTGACAATAATTTAAAACATTTTTATGATAATGTAAAGAAAGAATACAAGTATGTTCTAGATCATCAAGTGGCAACTGTGTCACTGAGTACCACCAAATAATCTCACGGCCGGCTTTTTGTTTGTGTTATATTCATGTCGGCCCCATCCTTTCCACTTTTATAACAAAGAATAGGTGAGAAAAGAGGCTGACTAAACACAGGTTCCCACCAAGTGAAGATCAAGTGAAGCGACAGCACGGTGTGCAAAAGAGGACGTTAGCAGAGAAAAACACAGAGAACCAAGAGATTGCGAGAAATCACACCCTGCCCCCAGTACAGCTCCTGTTTTCCCAGACAGCGTGTCATCTCAGCTTCAGAAAAACAGCATCATCTGTTGTTAGTTTGAATTGTATTCGTTTCATCAGATGCCTACCATATTGCAAGTACTTTGCTAAACTCTGGGAATCTAAAGACAGGTAAGTTTCAGTTCAGGTCCACCACTAAATTCAACTATAAAAGACAGTAACTAAAGTCCATATTGTCATGGGGAGACACTAGAGTGTTTCAATAAAAACCAGTTCTGCTTGCCCAGCTATATAAAAAGACAGAAAAAGTCAAGTTCAACATTTCATGCCGACATTGGCTTTTACAGTTTGGCTTTGACAGAATCTCATGCTGACCTTGATTTCACACAGGGAATAAAGGCCACTTACTATATGCACATCCGTACACTTCGATCCGCATCCCAATCCTGCCCCTGGGGTTCCAGGCTAAAGGGAGAAAGCGCAGGAACCTGGCTTCAAAGGGAGGCTGGAGTCTGTAGTGCACCACACTGTCTGCGTTTGTGTTTCCTGGAAAACCCTAGGAGAAAACAGAGAAAGGGATCAATGTATCTGCAGGATGCACCATCTTCATGTCGTCACCTCTCATGGCAATGAGCAATGTATGCTCGCTTTGCTAATATGCAAAAAGCTGCTGTTTTAAAGGAAACACTGCTAATGGTTAACAAGGATGTGACAACCTCTCCAGTCCCTGAATTCGTCACCATTGTCTACGTTTTTTTATTTACAAGGTAGTTTAAATTTCATCCACATCATTAAAATGACTATAAACATGGCAACCTCTATGAAGTTCACTTTTCTAAAATGCTATCCCACAGATTCCTCCCTAATCAAGTGGTAAAGATGCTCACAAAAAGCCACATCACATGGCAGGGCAATCAAGCACCACGGTAACATGCAAAGGATCTGCAGTGAGAATCCTGGAATCTGCAATTAGAGAGTTGGAAGGGACCTAGACATGATTCCAGCCCCACACCCTTAATTTATAAATGAAAAACTACAGTCTAGGAAGAAGAAAGGACACTCTGGATGTAGGACAGCTATCATAGAGTGTGGGCAGGATTACATCTGGCTTTTATTTCAATGGCATCATTGATTCCATGTTATCAGGCTGAATCCACTTCACAGTGAACACAGCTCCATGCACCTGTGGCCTGCTTCCTGGGGGTGTCAAGAGGAGCACACTGCCACTATCTGCTCCAGGGCAAAGGGGCTTTCACTCTTCACTCCATCTTGCTATCTGAACATTGGGAAGGATCAGAGTGCAAAGCAAACAAAATTGTTTTAGATATTTTTTCATTGTTTTCAGATTTTTAAGAATATGGCATGTGTGAGAACAAGGAAAGGGTTAATGCTCTTTTGCACTAGAAGTGCTATCACCTAACATGACTGGGGCACATAGTTAATATTTATGTATGGAACAGGCCAGCAGTTAGTTCAACCAAGAATGAAGAATGTCTCCTGCCTAATTATTTTGCTTTACTAAAGAATGTACCAGGCTTAGGGCCAGCGCGTTGGCTCACCCCTGTAATCCCAGTACTTTGGGAGGCCAAGTCGGACAGATCACGAGGTCAGGAGATCGAGATCATCCTGGCTAACACGGTGAAACCCTGTCTCTACTAAAAATACAAAAAAATTAGCCGGGCATGGTGGTGGGCCCCTGTAGTCCCAGCTACTCAGGAGGCTGAGGCAGAAGAATGGTGTGAACCCGGGAGGTGGAGCTTGCAGTGAGCCGAGATCGTGCCACTGCACTCCAGCCTGGGCAACAGAGGTAGACTCCGTCACAAAAAAAAAAAAAAAAAAAAAGAATGTACCAGGCTTAACAACAAAACGAAGAGAATAAAGATCAGCCTGCCTCATATCCAACCACCAATGGGTGTCCCTGGGTATAAACACATGGAAATAAAAATATAGGAAATGCCTTAGTGAATGTGGTCAATTTTAAATGCTAGTGTTGATGTCAGACTTGGTAACAGTTCGTCTATTGCTAATTCATGCCAGTTCCAAGAGAATCATTTCACCTTTTTTTTTTTTTTTTTTTTTTCTGAGACAGGTTCTCACTTTGTCTTCCAGGCTGGAATGCAGTGGTGCGATCTAGACTCACTGCAACCTCTGCCTCCCAGATTTAAGCAATTCTCCTGCCTCAGCCTGCCCAGTAGCTGGCATTCCAAGAGCATGCCACCACACCTGGCTAATTTTTGTATTTTTAGTAGAGACGGGGTTTTGCCATGTTAGCCAGGCTGGTTTCGAACCCCCAGCCTCAAGTAATTTGCCCACCTGGGCCTCCCAAAATGCTAGGATTACAGTCATTAAGCCACCATGCCCAGCCAGAGATAATCATTTCACTCTTGTTCCAACTAAAGGGTCATGTACATCAACATTTTTTGAGTTAACAATCGCTATACAAACTTCAGGTAAATATTTGCACAACCTCTGCACTCACAACCTTCTGTCTGGACAGCCCAGGCTGACCTATATAAAATAAGCCATATCCCAGCTCCACCACCTCAAACCCTGCTACTCTCTGCTGCAAGCTGCGGTTTCTTCATCTGTAAAACTGATCTTGAAGGGCCAGAGTACTAATTGAGATAACACCTGGAAATCAATCAGCCCACCACCTGCGTGGAGGTGGCTGCTGTGACTGTGACCCAGGTTGGTCATTGTTGGCATGGTTGGTAGAGATGGTTGATCCATCCTTTTATTTTGGTTCTAATTTGGGTTTAATATCTAAGACATACAGCCAAGCTAATACAGGAACATCAGATCCTATGAGCATTTTGACTCCAATGTTAAAATTCAGTTGCAGAATTAAAATCATATTTTTCTGTAGCTGAATAAACTTTGTAAACCTCAGTAAAAACAATACAATAAAAACCTTTCAAAGGAACCCTACCAAAACAGAATTTTTTCACCTTTATCTGCCAAATGTTACTTCTTTCTCAATTTGTTTCAAAGTGTAAACTCTGGAAAATATACTTCTGAGTGATGTGATAATAGGATCATGTAGCAAAATAAAATTTAATGTCAATTTTTGCGTAATTAAATAGATTAACATTTAAGAAACTTTAAATAGACATTACCTAATAGTTTGTGAATAAGGCAGATGAGAAACATACTCTTTGCAACTTCAGAGATATCAATAAAAAATCAAACATTTATTACATATGACTAAAATATATTTAAAAGTTTATATATATAATCACATTAATTCATTTGAAATTTCAGAAATCACATTATTGTCTTATATAGAATTATAACCAGCTTCATGGGATACCAACCAAATGAACCATTGTTCTTTAAAGATATAGAAATTAAAGAGAATACATTTTGGGCAGGAAAGATTTATACTAGCATTTCACTGTCATAACATTCAGGGCTTATTATTGAAATAACCTTATCTATAACAGTAAAATAATGTGTGTCTTAAAAATATGCAGTGTAGTCTCTTATTCATTATATTCAAAGTTTGCTTCGAGAGCTTGCAGAGCAGACATGAGTTCATACGTGAGCACATGACCACTATGGACAAAAGAATGGCGAACACAAATACCTATTCCTGCTTTGTTTTATTAAGGTGGAAAAATGAACCTTCTAGAAGGATAAGCCAGCTTTTATAGAAATATGCAGCCTTCAACAATTCTGCAGAGGATTACGTCTTCATTTTAGACATAAACAGCAAAGGTTACAGCTCTGTGGAGAGTGAGAGTATACAGAATAGTTTTTGGAAGCCATAGTCCTTCAAATTCTTTTCTGTCTTAGCAGGCATGTGACCTTGGGAGAAATCATCATCTTTCTTTGTAAAGTAGAAAAATTATATCTATCTGGCAATCTTGGTAAGAATTAAACTAGTTAATATATATAATGTATTTTTAAGATTATAAATCATTTATTTTTTACAGCATTCCTCTGCAATTTGTGTGTGTGTGTGGTGTGTTCATGTATAAAAGCTCCATCTTATTGAAAGACAGTCACTTAAGTTTGATGTGGATTCCCTGTCTTTGAGGGCATTCTAGCTAAGTATTATATTAAGTAATCAAAAATGAGTATTTTCAGATAAAATGATCAGTTTTCATAACATGTTCCTTAGGTATACATGAAAGTGACTGAAATCTGTGGCTTGGAGTCCACTCACATGCTGGAAATATGTTTCATAAATAACTTAGGAATTAATGACATTACTGAAAAATTTCCAACACTCTACTTTGATTTTTAGCGGTCACATTAGTTAAATCTAACAGTCACAGTCAGTGATGGTGCTCATGTGATATCCTGGTCTGCAAAATGTTAAGCACATGGATAGTTGTGGTTGAGTATGAAATACCCAGATTGACAGCCATAAGCAGAAAAAAATCTGTCAAGGTAAGACTCATCAACAACTATTTTTAAGAAGACTGTTAGAAATTTGTTATTTTTCCAAATTTGTCATTTTGTCGTTTCTGTTTTAGTGGGTTTTTATCATCAAATCTTTATTTTAAATTACGAGATACTGAAATGAGTCTCTGAATTTTAAAATAAGCATTAAATCTCTACTATGCATAGGGCCACCACTGTCCTATGCAATTTCACACATCAATTCAGTTAGTCCTCACAAAGATGTTAGAAAAGCCTGTCTAAAAGAAATAGATTCTTCAGCAGCTTCAGCTTATTATTAGTTTCCCAAACACTCAAATGTACTACGAGAGATTCTTATTTTAATATGCTGTTATTATTTTAAGCTGTCTGTGTGTGGGGTAAGAAAGTGCCCGTGAGTCCCTGAGTTCTAATTCTGTTTCCTTAATTGCCAGACTATGCTGATATTGGATACAAATTTTAGTGCTTGTAATCTCAGCTTCTTTATGAGTAACATGGGGATAATACTAACTGCTCTGCCCAATTATAGCTTGTTGGAAGATGTTTCTGTAGGTGACTTGAAAATTCTAAGGAACTATACAAATGAAAGATATTGTTAAGCTGCTCCCTGTAATGCCTGTTAACAAGATTATTTGATTAAGACACTTTGTTAATTATAAGTGTTATATGAAGAAACTGTATTATTTCTAAGTATATAGCATTAATAATATAATTACCATGACATATACCTTGATGATTTTATGAAGTAATTAAAATGTTTCTATTGATTATTAAAAATTAGCATATTATCTTTATCACCTTAGTATGACTAGTACAATTATATTTATGCAGAGTTAATCAGTAAAAAGCAAAATGAAAGATATAAAACAATATTATATGTAAGTGTAAATATGTGTGAACAAAAGAATTATGATTTTTAAAAGAATATGTACAAATAAAATGTATTGGACTGGGGAAATATGAATCATGTATAAAAAAATATGATTAATGAATGAATGAACACCAAGGCAAGAGTAGGGCCTTATGCAGGCCAGACCGATCATTCCTTCATGATTCCTCACTGAGGAAGGTGACTCATGGAAACCTTCGCATCTGATGTCTAAACACAATAAATCAACAAAAAAGGGCTCCAGCATGTGGACCCAGTGCCTGCTGAAGAGCTGTTAACCCTCTGCTGCTGCCCCCTCAGCCTCCTCTGTTCTCAGGATGCCCATGGGTGAAGAAGGGACTCCTGGCAAGTGGGACCTGGGGCTGCCACAGAGCCCTCCCAAGGACACAGACAGGACTGTGAGGCCACGGCTCCAGCAGGATGCTGACTCCTGCAACTGTCAAAGACTTCAGCTCAGTTTTGGAGTTTCCTGTAAGTGATACATCATATGATGAACACAGGCTGCGAAGCTGGAGAGACCTGGGTCTGAGGCCAAGTCCCAACATATACTGGTTCTGTGACTATGGGCAAGATACTCAACCATGCAGAGCCTTCCCCTCTGAACACTGGGGAGAATGATGATCCGGACTCACAAGACTCTCACGTATCTCTAAACTCTTAGCATAGGACTAGCATATGGTAAATAATCAATTAGTAGGAAACACTACTTATTATCATCTGTTAATACTAAGTGATATTTCCTCTTACTCATTCTCACAATGCCACTCTTTGAAAGCAAGGATGAATCTATGGACCTTTTCCTTTGATTCTCAGCCGGAATCAACTTAGTCACTTAGGTCTGCATCCCCTCACTAGCAGATGACATTAGGCAAGGATGATACTGCTTTTGTCCCTGTTATTTTCAGAAGATTACAGATAATGATGTAACATGCAAAACTGTTTCTTATTTAAATTAGTATCGATAACTGCCTATGTGAACAGCTGTACTTAATTATTTTAAAGTGCTCATGAATGCATTATTAATATTTTACTAACCATTAGAATACAATGTTTATCAACACAAAATGAGAAAAGTGTGACTTTGCCTTATTCTAGCATTATTAAATGAACTGAAGTAGGAATTAAGAAATGTGGGTGATGGTTCCAGCTTTTTCATTAATTAGCTGTGAGAGCCATGGTATGTCACCTGAGGCTTCAGTTTAGCTGGAAAGCACGCTACAAAGTACTACAGGGCCAGGCACGGTGGCTCACGCCTGTAATCTCAGCACTTTGGGAGGCTGAGGCAGGTGGATCACCTGAGGTCAGGAATTTGAGACCAGCCTGACCAATATGGTGAAACCTCATCTCTACTTCAAAAAAAAAAAAAAAAAAAAATTACCCTAGCATGGTGGCGTGCCCCTGTAGTCCCAGCTACTCAGGAGGCTGAGGCAGGAGAATCACATGAACCTCGGAGGTGGAGGTTGCAGTGAGCCAAGATTGCACCACTGCACTCCAGCCTTGGTGACAGAGTGAGACTCTATCTCAAAAAAAAAAAAAAAAGTACTATGGAATCTAAAGTTTTCTCTAGCACTAAAAGAGCATGGCCTGAAATAGTTAGTTTATATTTGGGTCAAGAAAGAAAGAAATGTTAGAAAATAAATGAATAATCAATGACAGCAAGAGTACCTTATTGAAAAAAATGTATGTGTATATGCACTTATGCATATCTTTAATTAATTAAATATACATAATCATTGAAAAATGAAACACTGCAAATACATTTGTATGTTTGATACTTGAGCATCCTATCATTTTTTTAAATAAAAATTAATTAATTTACCATATTTGAATAAGTCAAAAAGAGAAAAACAAAGTGTAGTGCATGTTTAAAAAAGACAAATAAATGTTTCCTTGTGTTTGCTCACTACTGATAACTTTGAGGAAATGATCATTCAGAAACATAAAGCAATCCAAAATACGAATCAAGATTAACTTAAATGTAATTTTTAAAATAATTCAGATAATGAAGAGAGCAGAACTAGCCACTTAGCTCTCTGTGTATAGTGCATATAACTAAATATATCACAACTTAACAGGTGTTCTTTCTGAGATATTGCTATTGACTTTAAATGATCCCATTAGTTAAATGTTAAAATACCTTTTTAGAAAGCAGGCAATTCATCTAACTTGTCATTTGACTTGGATCTGGGACAAATTTCCTGTGTGAGATCGATCAGCATGTCTTCTTGCTCTCAGATTTCCTTATTATAATTATAAATCTTTGTGCTTTATAAAAGTTCAGGGTATTATGCTGGTGCCATCTCTGGTTTCTCAGAGACTTTCAACAACAAGCCTCGTTCTGGGACATGATAGGCATTGTTGCAAAGTCAGGAATTCTTCAAGGAGAATAAATGTCTGCTGTGTTGAATTTTATGCTAGGTTCCCCAAGATCTGCACCTTTAACCCTCCCAGTATTTACCAGTGTTTAACACACAGTTGGTCCCAGGCAAATGCTGGTGCATTGACTTGATTGTTAGAGATAACCTTCCTAATGCTATATTCTATCCAGTCTCTCTAAACCCAGCTCCTTGTTCTGCTGTGAGGAGCAGCACCTGTCTTCCTTTGCCTGGATGACTCAGAGATGCCCACTCCATCTTCATCTCTGGACTCACCACAAGTAATTACTTAGTACTTCCCACCAACTGCAGAGCAATTTACTTAATTGGAATGTTTTCACACTTTTTCATCCCTGATAATCAACCTGCACAGATGAAAAAATTACCTAGGGAATCACTATTATTAAGTCAGTGATCTAAGTGCTTTTGTTATTCTAACTGAAAATTGTAATCATTTGTTTGTTTGACATATTTACTATCTGACCATCAGACAGATTCACTTATTTTGTCCATTTTAACTATGACCAAATATATATTTTTTCACATAAGAATCTGTGAGCATTAAACTGGGTAATCTGTATGACCTTATCCCTGAATATTAGATATTAGATATGCACATACAAATGGTTATGATTGTTATGATTAGTGTGCTATCATGGAAAATAGTTCATAGTCTTGATAGTCTGAGAATTGCTATGATAATAGTTTCAAAAACATTTAGGATACTTGTTCTCTATTTTTAATTTTAGTTTTTAGCAACAAAAATCATTTGAAAAGCAAATAAAATTATTTCACCATATTTTTACACTTGTAATCATGTATAATATGTTCTAAGAAAAAGCCATCTCTACCTATAAAATAAGATGCAATTGTATATTCCTGTGTGTCTCTCACACGGATCCATCAATGAACAATATTGCCAGCATTGGGAATAAGAATACTGAATGAATCAGGCCTAGGTTGAGTATTTTCTGTGACTATGAGGCAGTCACATCCTCCTATTTGGTTAGGATCTACAAACAGAGTAACCAGACTCAAAAGGTGCCACCTGCCTAGAATAATATTAGTATGAGATAATAAGACTTGCTCGTGGCTTATCCGGCAGTGTGCTAGAAATTTTCTGTCTATGAATTTGTAAAACAGCAGCAACAACATGAGGCACATGGAAGTTCAATGTCCTAGGGTCAAAGCTGAGCTCTGAAACCGCCTTTGCACAAATTCTAACAGTGACAAAATTATGGCAATGGGGAGACCTGATCTAGTTAACCCCCTTCTTGCCCTTGACCTTCAAGTTGCCCTTAATCATTCCTGGGCTTAGGCAAGCCAACCGTGAGAGACATCTAGTTTATAGTTTAAATGATAATAGCCCTTCCCCAAAACTAAAGCTAATGAGAGACCACCAGGCTAGGAGAATAGAGGAGCCTAAATTCTGCTAAAATACAGACATAAATGATTGCTAGCCATTTGTCCAGAGGTCACGAGATATGCAACTTCCTCATGAATTCCAGCAGATAACATCAGTATTGTAGAATCTAAGATTAGCCTTTTGAGATATCCAGGTTTTTTGCATGTTTGACTACCGATGGCTCCACTGGACCTGCCAACAGCTCCCGTAGCTCCACCCATAAGTAACTCAGCATGCAGAAGAATCATTTCCCACACCCCTATGATTACACCCCCAACCAATCAGCGGCAAGCACCCATTGCCTAGCCACTCCCCGCCCTTTCCCTAAACTACCTTTGAAAAATCCCTAACCTATGAGCCTTCGATGAGACTGACTTGAACAATAACTTCATCTCTAATGTGGTGTTGCCAACCTTGAGTTAATTTAAACTCTTTACAGCAAATACCATGTTTTTTGTTTTGTTTTGTTTTTTTGCAGCGAGCAGGAAGAACCCATCGGGCAGTGACACAATCAGAAGAGCTACTGTGGCTTGTAGAAAGCCTGGCATATCCAGAACAACAGAATCCAACAAGACAGGAAAGTAACCAATAGGTCTATAGTCAGGGCCTAGGTTCTGAGTAAGCACACCACTAGCAACTCCTTTATTCTCCAGATGGAAAAAGTAGAATAGTTTACCAGAGTTATGAATACACGTGGGGAGACAATAGGTCCTTAAAGGGTTTGAAAGGCTTTTCAGCTTCTTCTGACTGTGATAGTAGTTAGTCAGACATGAGCAGAACAGGAGAGGACCCCCCGACCCCAGGAATGTCAGGCAACCATCAGGTGATGGTCAGGCAGTTGTTACACTGTCTCTCTAAAATAATTGGTTGTAGCCAGTGCCAGGGAAAGGCAGTCTCGCAATAGATAGAAACACCTGTAACTGGTGATCAGAAGCTTCCCAATATGATCTCAGGAGCTGGGTGAGTGGCCTCAAGCATGCGCACTAAGAGGCAAAATGGTGGAGTTTAACTGGTACATGACCTTCTTCTAGGAACATGCATACAACTCCAGTGAACACATTATGCCTATGACCCCTCCCAAGTGCTGACAGGCCACTGTGCATATGGAATGCCAATGTATAAAACCCCAAGTTAAAGGTCAAACCGTGCACTTGAATCTCTCAGGCTGCCGGCTTGCCCCTCTTCCAAATGTACTTCACTTTCTTTGGTTCCTGCTCTGAAACTTTTTAATAAACATTCACTCCTGCTCCGAGTCTCTGCCTCAGTCTCTTCCTCCACCTTAAGCTCCTCGGTTGAATTCCTTCTTCTGAGGTAGCAAGAACTGAGGTTGTTGCAGACCTGTACAGATCTTCCACTGCTAACATGACCCCAGTAAAGGTGCTGGTGACGTTTGATGCAACAGCTCAGTGACAGGCTTCGCCTTTTCTGAACAGGCAGGGATCTCCTGACTGCAATTCCCAACCAATCCCCAAAACTGGCAAACTTGATTTTTTTTAATTAAGCAAGCTTAATTTGTAAAATAGGCTGACTCTAGGAAGGGACTATTTTTTATTGGCCAGTCACAAATGTCCCAAATGCTTGAGTTCAGTTTGACACTATTGCTATTTATCTAGGGATGTTTTATATGCTTAGGAAGCTAAAAATTTGTAGAAAGTTACATTTTCTTCTTATCACATGTAAGGTGTCAGCAGCTATCAATGATTCATCTGCATATTGAATCAGCATGAAACTCTAAGGTGAGGAAAATGACTTTAAGTTCTCTTGAACAGTAAATGTCTAGAGAATATAGTAGGTGAATCTCTAAATCCTGAGGAATCCGTTGCCACAAATATTGAAAGCTGCCATAGGTAAATGTAAGGATGAACCTTGATTTCTCATGTAAAGGTACAGAAAAAAACCTGAACAAAAGTCTACTGCAGAAGAATACTTAGTTGGCATAGGTATTGTAATTAAAATAGTAGCCAGGTCAGCTAGCACAAGCACAGGTACCAGAAGAATCACAAACATACTTATTTCTATAAGATCTTGTACAAATCTATAAACAGGTCCACCTTCCCTGTCATATTTTCCTTCCTTTTTCACAGGTAATGTAGAAGCATTACAAACTGAATGCCCTTTATTACAGCTCATTTTCCTAATTAAAAAATGTATAGATTATATCTTATAATTGAGCTATTCCATGTTGTAAGCTATAATTATAGCATTGATACATTTTACTAAAATATTTGTTCCTGGGATCCAGAAAAATGGATCTACTTCTTGTCAATTGATCTATTCCAGTGCAAGGTGAGATTGCCACTCACCACTGCCCCCATTGGTTTCAGAAGGCACATCTTTACCTTATCATCAGGTGCCTTGCCTCCCAGGGCTCCAAAATCATTTCACCCAGAATACAGAATGGGTGGGAGGCATTAGTTTACACAGCGAGTCCCTTTCCAACAAATAGCTAGGTGCATCAGGAGACTAGATAAAAGCATGTTTCTTTTACAAAAGATCTATTTGCAGAATAATTTCAGAGCAGCAAGAACAGACAGAAGGTTGTCCGGAGATATCCAAAACATTAAAACAAAAAAAAGGTCAGAAGAAATTACAGAATACATGGCTCCAGGGTTCACAAAAAAAAAAAAGAAAAAAAAACATGAAAAGATTAAGATGAGGAAAAGAAACAGACATATAAAGCTCTCTGCTTCCCAACTCAAAGGTTTCCTCATTATGTCAGTTTTGCACACTAGTTTGCACCGTTTGCCAATTATTTCTCATCCAGTTTCTCAGGAGAAAAATCTCCTAGAGAAGCTAATAAAGCTTCAGACTCAGGTTGAATCCTTTGCGTCTTAATTTCTTCAGCATCCCCTTTCTGAATATCCTGGTTTCTTACAACAGTGATATATCAACTTTCCATTAGAGCATTCCTTTTTATTTGTTGTTGGCTCACAATAAAATCTGTCCCATCTGTGAATAATTCTAACTGGGCAGCTAACACTGCAGTCTTAAGTTCTTCCCCACATTTTCCCAAAATGGATTGCTGGCACCAACTGTCCGCCCTTGCCATCAAACTATTTTTTCTCCTGACAATTGCTGGCAGGGAAATTCCTGGCAAAAAGCCTGCTTAAAAGGTAGAGGACCAAGGATATATTCTGATCTTCCCTTGGATTGGGCCCCAAAAATTTATAAACTGCTTCAGTGCACTGCTGATGAAAAGCAACAGGGACACACCTGCCTCTTGAGTGCGTTATTGTAGCACTGCTAGAGGTCACCATATGCAGAGAGGCTCCAAGGACTGCCATCAGCCATCCCTCACACTGAGTTATGGAAAGAGGTGGACGGCTGGTTTCCTGAGGCCATGGCACTCCCTGATGAGGGGGTTATAATTTGGCCTCTATCACACCTGTTCCACTAGTTGAGCAAGTCAGCCAGAGGCAACACATCACACAGCAGCCAGTTTATATCCTCACGTGTGTAGTTATATGTTGAAAAAATGCTGCAGAGCACTTCTGCAAATTTGTGTGAATCTTCCCAGAGCAATAGAAAAAAATCTCTTAAGAGAAGTATATCAACTTGGGGGAAGGCAATATGGATTCTGGCATTTGTGTCACTGCAGTTGCAAAGGGATAGGGCTGATTTTCATCATGAAATGAAAAATAAGTTGGTTTGTATGGCACTGTAGTTTCAGTCCCTGTTATGCCATAGTAATTTGACTCCCTCCATTTCTTCTAAGTTCTTAAGGCAATCAACCATTCAGCAACCCAAAACCTTTATTCTAGGATACAATCTCTTACCCAAATTCTCACTGACTCTTTGATCTTTCTTCTGAGTAATTTATAGATGTTTAGTTGTGTTTTGCATATTCAGTTTAGAGGGAATCACAGAGATGGGATCAGAACTAGGGCATCCAATATCAGGATATTCTAATAAAGCTAAACAATTTGCTCCTTCTAAAGGGAATTCATCCCAGGTTTCCAATTCATCCAAGAGACCATTACCTCCCTCCTCTGAGATCCCAGATTGAGCAAAGAAGGGTGAAGAGAAGCTGAGGAAACAAAAGGAATGACAGCAGAGAAGAAATGAGAAGCTGGAGGAAGAAAAAGAGCTTTCAGATTCTTACTCTATTCTTCCAATTTCTTAATTCACTCTTTTTGGTTTTTGTTTTATTACTGACTACTTCATCTCAGGAATATAAATTATCCGTTTATTTGGGATTTTTTTTCCTTAAAATCTCCGTGCATACACTAATTTGTCTACCTCAAAAGAGTCTTTCTCGGCCGGGCACGGTGGCTCATGCCTGCAATCCCAGCACTTTGGGAGGCAGAGGCGGGCAGATCACGATCGAGACCATCCTGGCTAACACGGTGAAACCCTGTCTCTACTAAAAGTACATAAAAATTAGCAGGGCATGGTGGCAGGCGCCTGCAGTCCCAGCTACTCAGGAGGCCGAGGCAGGAGAATGACATGAAGCCGGGAGGCGGAGCTTGCAGCGAGCCCAGATGGCTCCACGGCACGGCACTCCAGCCCGGGCGACAGAGTGAGCCTCCGTCTCAGGGAAAAAAAAAAAAAAAGCCTTTCTCTGGCCATTGCAAAGCAGAATTTTCAGAAGTTTACCCATTCTAAACATAATAGAGTGAAATAACCCTTCTAAGAGAAAGACCTGCCAGCAACATTCTGGACTTCCCATATTTTTCTGCCGTTAAAACCTATCCTGAATCATATAGGACCTGTGAGCCTGCATTACACATTTTGCTCAATAATAACTCCAAATTTGTAGTAAGGGTTTGAAATTTTCCCCAGGAACCCAATCCTGCTGAGCCAAAGTAGATAATGGGAGACTTTTAAGCAAACAGTCGGGGTCTCTTACCTAATCCAAGAGGCCACATTTTATGTTAAGTGTGTTTTATCACAATAAAATGACTTTTTAAGAAGGTGGACACAAATCTTCCCACAAATTAACCAATAGAAGCACTCACTCAAGAAATCCCATCCTCATCACCAAATTGTTGGGGGGAAAATCAATACCCAAAGAAACATGCCAATTCACAAATACAGAATTAGTTGATTTTATTATTGGGCAAAACAAATAACCTGAATGTATGTGGACAGGCAGCAAGTGGCTACAAAGCTGTAATGAATATTCAGCTCCATTTATATGAAATTAATGTTGCAGTTGTTACACATCATCCTATCTTTAGAAAATAGTCAGCAGATGTTCAATTTGCACCAGTAATTACAGTGAGCTTACTCTGATGTTCTGTTTTACATACTTCTGTATCAGGCTTGCTCTGGTGTTAAGTTCCTCAGAATTCTTTATCAGGATCTATGGTTGTCCCAATAGGGCATTAGTACCTATGATTGGTCACGTCTTTCAATATTCCTCAGCAAGGCTACATTGAACGCAAGTTCAGTTTCCCCACTGCATGAATCCTCCAGGTTCAGCTGGGTGTGCTTTTTATGTGAGCGCTCACCTTCCCACAGCGATTATGCGAAAACCAAGCCTCTTAACATCATACCTCTGTAAGTGATGTGATTATTTAAAATGAAGTGACTGTTAATTAAAATCATATTCATACAGAGCTTCTATTTGCTGAAAATTTAAAGTTTGGTGGGGGTTTTTGACTTTAAATGTCTCTCATTCGTTCTGAATGTAATAATGTGCTTAATTTTATGTCTTTCTTGGAATTTATTTAATCAATTAGTACCGTGTGTCTGAGTATGTAAAGAGTATGCTAATGACATTTTAGAGGAAATCAAATAGACTAAGAAATTAAAGGGATGCTTCAATACTGTGAATATTGATGACAAAGAAGAAAGATAAGTAATCAGAGAGAAAAAAAGGGAAAACGCCTTGGACTAAAAAATAGAAACACCAGAGGCAAATAAGCCATATTTAACAAGGTTAGGTAATATGCGAGTTCTACAGAGCTTATTTTAAATATTGTTCTTATATTCAGTCATTTCACCTGGCACAAATATGCCTTCTGTACTAAAGGAAGATGGTTTCCTTCATATTTACACTTTTGCATTATAATCAATGTGTCACCTTTTTTTCAATAAATATGGTTGGCCTTCTGTATCAGAAGTCTCTACAAGGCTGACTGTGGGACTTAAGTATGAGCAGATTCTGGTACCCGAGGGGGTCCTGGAACCAATCCCTTGCAGGGAGATGACTGTAAATGTTTTTGAGATTGAGAATATTAATATGTGCTTAAAATGTGAACGAGGACATGTGTTAACATCTTCATTGACCATTACATTTTGGTTGAATAGCATATGCCATGTCTCATCTAACTAATTTGAAATAAGTTCAGATCACAAGAAAAAAGGAAAATTGGTTAAAAGAACAAGACCTGTCTTGAGCAAATACTCCATTTCCCCAGTAATATTACTGCAGTTACAATCTATCTCGAATCACTTTAAATTGGCCCAAATGCCAATTGCTGAAAATTTAATCATTTCCCAATCAGGAATGATGCATTTATCAACCAAATCTCAAATCAGTTATAATTCTCCCCAAACCTAGTTTTGAGAACTTCAGTTTGGGTTTTTCCTAAGAGGATGACTGTCCATTTCAATGTTGAGAAACAATCCAGAAAGAGTGAATGATAACCATCCCCATTCAAAATTTTCTCATCAAATTAGAATTTTTAAATATATTTTAGACTATGTTAATAAGGGAAATATGTTGATTATCACAGAAGTTTGGCATTTTTATATAAAATAATGCTTAGCATTTATAAGAAATATCAATTTTGCATTCAGAAAAAAAATTGATTTAAATAGAATCCAGCCATATACATCTGAAATTTGTTGAAATCAAATGGCTAACCTCCACCAAATTGTGTTTTCAAGCTTTTTTAGAAGGTTTCATAAATAAATTAAAATTTTTTTGGCATTTAAATGAGTCGGCAATATTGCTAAACCAAAATGACGAGAGCTATGTAATTAACAATAAATTCAAGATGAATGCTTACTATGCATGAAAAGTTAAATGTTGAGCTGGAGAGAAAAGAAAAATAAATATTTATCTGAAAAGCAAACTGAAGTAAGCATGAGGCATTCTGTCCTTGTTTCTGCCCTGTCAGGTGTAGGGCACATCCTCAGGAATCCAGAAAGCTGAGACCCCAGGGTGACTAATTTTCTGCAGGAGGTCAATTCCCTGAAAGATGCTCAGCTGACTCCCAAAGGGATAGAAATAAAATGTACCTGACGGAGTAATTAAACAAAAAAGTTCCCATTTTTAATATGTCAGTTTGTGTTTTATTATATTGCGATAAATGTGTTGCTTTTTCATTTGTTTCCATCAGTGCACAATTACAAGTCCACATTTTGAGGACCTTCTGTTTATTTCCTTTTATTGTTTGTTTTTAGCAGAGAATAACAAAGAAAAAACAAAATATGGTTCACAGTCTTACCAGTCAGATAACCCTTGTTGACATACAAAATAAATGTATTAATAAACCAACAAAGTATGATCACATATACATTCTTTTTTTTTTTTTTTCAGATGGAGTCTTGCTCTGTCGCCCAGGCTGGAGTGCAGTGGTGCAGTCTCGGCTCACCACAACCTCTGCCTCCTGGGTTCAGGAGATTCTCCTGCCTCAGCCTCCTGAGTAGCTAGGACTACAGGCACATGTCACTATGCCCAGCTAATTGTTGTATTTTTGGTAGAGACACAGTTTCACCATGTTGGCCAGGCTGGTCTTGAACTCCTGACCTCGTGATCTGCCCACCTTGGCCTCCCAAAGTGCTGGGATTACAGGTGTGAGCCACCGCGCCAGGCACATAAACATTCTTGGTTAGAAAATTGAAATAAGGCCGGGTGCAGTGGCTCACGCCTGTAATCCCAGCACTTTGGGAGGCTGAGGCGGGTGGATCACGAGGTCAGGAGATCAAGACCATCCTGGCTAACACAGTGAAACCCCGTCTCTACTAAAAAAATACAAAAAATCAGCCGGGTGTGGTGGTGGGCGCCTGTAGTCCCAGCTTCTGGGGAGGCTGAGACAGGAGAATGGCATGAACCCGGGAGGCGGAGCTTGCAGTGAGCTAAGATTGCGCCACTGCACTCCAGCCTGGGCGACAGAGCGAGACTCTGTCTCAAAAAAAAAAAAGAAAAAGAAAAAAAAAGAAGACTGAAATAAAAGTTAAGCTAAAAAATGATAGCCACTCTTTCACTGAACCCCAAAAGTAACCACTCTTGAAGAAAAGATGAAAATTGTGATCATCTTTTCTTAGTCCGTATTTTCTTTTAGAATAGTGCTCATCTTTAGCCACGCTGTGTTGCTCTCTCACCCATTTCCCCAAGGGTGTTGTGTGGTCGCTGTCTCCCATGACACTCAGGCACACCAGCGATGCCGAGGATGGGGGCAGCTTTGTACAGACCTTCCCCTTTGGCTCTGGGTCTGTGTGTGCTCCTGGCACTTCCTCCCTCCTTACCTGGGTTCCTACTCTGGAATCTGAAGCTTGCAGACTGGTTCTCTCTAACTTAAGGGTGAGGGGCAGGGGCATTTAATTAAATGGCTTGTGCCAGGTTCCTTCCATCTGGTCTGCCCTTATCCCATCCAGTGTTGGTGCCCTCAGGCTGCAAAGATCCTCACCAGCCCAGTGCGACCCCTGAGAAAGCTGGCCTGGGCCCCTCACTGGACACCACCCTTCCCCCACCTGCAGCTGTCTCTCCTGCCCGGAGAAGGGAGTGAGAAAGAGATACAGAGAGAGAGAGAGAGAGAGAGAGAGAGAGATGTGTGCGAGAGAGAGAGGAGAGAGAGAGAGAGAGAGAGATGTGTGCTATGATTTAGGGTCTGTATTAGGACTGACCAAGGGGACCACATAGGGTTCTCAGCCTCTTTCAAGGCCCAAGGATCTCTCAGAAGACACTTCTTCACTCTACCTTCAATCTTTCATTTGCAAAATTACTTGGTTTTGCTAGACATCTCTAGCAAAACGAAGTAATTCTCTCCAGGTTTGAGTCTCTTTATCTCTAGGTTTGAATCTTCTGATTGATTTTTCTCTCATCTTCTCCCCTTTCAGTACAGAATCACCAAAATATCCTTTTCATGATTTTTTTTAAACCAACTCTTCCTGATTGGTTCAGGATGTGCTTCTACTATATGAAAACTTTTAAATCACCTCTATAAACTGCCTCCACCTTCTTTTCTTGCACTTACCTACATTCGGAGACTGTTTAATATCATCTCCTGCACCCCGTACTTTGCATTCTTTTCTCTACGAGAGTGTCCGTGGACACTGGATTAGCAGCAGTTCTGAATTAAAGCCACTGCGTCTCGACTCAGCTTCAATCCACATTAATTCTGGATCTCCCACTGACGGTGATCTTTGCTGTATAACTGCACTTTCATTCACAGATGCCAAAAGAAGGTTTGGCCAGGAGCTGTGTCCAAACTTACTGTTCTAAATTTGAGACAGAGGGTTTGATGATAAGATGAAAATATGGAACAAGACAGCGCTGAATTTTTAAAATTGTGGCTTCCACAGAGTCCAAAATGTGTGGCTGGCTGCTCTATGTTTGGGATAAAATACGTAATTAGCTCTTATATATACATAAATAACTCTCAGAGGCATTAATTCTATCTTCATTTAGCCCATGTCAGTATGAGTAAACAGTGACGTTTACACACGTTGCCTGCTACGCCTCCATTTTCCCATATGTCTTCATGAAAATAAAATGTGATAAATGTAAAACATTTCAGACAGCGCTTCACATGTAAGCATTTACTCGATACGTTTCCTCTCTTTTTTCTCCTTTTCTGTGTGAATTCTCTTTCCATTCCAAGTCTGGCTGGATGAAGATTATTTTCAGAAAATGGGACTTGGAGCTATAATGTCACTGAACTCAAATACAATTTGAAGAAAAATTTTCCTTTGCCATTTTAGGTAAAGCAATAGAATCATGTCTTGAAGCTGCAGGTGGATCTGAAGCTTGTCTGAGAGCAGGCGGAGGCGGTCGTGTCGGATGGATGGTGAGTTTGTGCGAACGGGGCCTGCCCAAATGCTCCGCCTTTATTAGTATCTCCCAGGAGCCCCGCCTGCATGACGCCTTTTTTTCTGGTTACAAATCTCTTAGTAGATTTATTCCCCCTTACATACCTTTCCAAAGGGATTTTATGGCCTTCACAGTTACCTTTCTGCCATTTAACACTATAGCTTTAAAATAATTATTTGTATCACTTATCCAAAATATATGTTATTTCAGTATCTTAAGCTTTGAACTCGCAGGTCTAAGACTGAAACCCACAGCCTACACTGGCTCCTTCTAAAAGCTAATGATTGCATTCTGTTCCATCTTCACTTAAAATCCACAGAGAGAATGTAGCTCCCCATGATAATGGCTGAGGTACATGAAATATTACTGTTTAGAAACAAATGGCCTCACACGGAGGGGATAATGGTAGACAAAGAGAAGCATTTGGGTGAATCGTTTATACAGATAACGTAGCAAATTTTGTTCAGAGAATAATTTACGGGTACATATGCGGATTAATTTCAAAAGGAATCTATTTTCTGCAAATATTTATTTTGAAGTTATGTGTTGAGGCTTATTAATCATTAATACGGCACAAAAGAATGTGGAAAACAGTGGACTTGTCTGGCTAGGTGTCAGGCACCCTGCCTTAGTCTGTTGAGGCTGTCATAACAAAATACTGCAGACTGGGAGGTTTAAATAATAGACACTTATTCTCACACAGCTCTGGAGGCTGGGAAGGCCAAGACCAGGGTGCCAGATGAGGGCTTTCTTCCTGGCTTGTGGACGACCACCTTCTCACTGTGTCCTCACATGGCAGTGCTCTCTCTCTCTCTCTCCCCCTCTCTTCCTATAAGACCACCGTCCTACAGGATTAGTGCCCTACTCTTATGACCTTATTTAACCTTAATTACCTCCTGAAAGGCCCTGTCTTCAGATATAGTCACATTCAGGGTTAAGGCTTCAACATATATATTTTGGAGGAACAGAATTCTGTCCATACAGCACTCCATGTGAATGACTTTTCTGAGAAAAATATCAAAAAAGACAAAAACTAAGTACTGTGTCTATAAAAACAAATATCAAAATCTGTTTCTCAGTGCAAACTTTCTAAAGTTAGGCTTTACAAAAGAATCACTTTCCCATTAATAACGGTCACTATTGTTGGTTAATATTCTTGAAAACTAATCTTACCCAATTTGACTTACTGAAGGCAATTTTGAGATAAAATCTCATCCATCTTTGAGCAATAAAGTAGAAGCAAATAAATATAAGTGAAAAGCTAATTTAGCTTATACAAATTGAAAAGTAATATAAACTGTCTCTTGCTGATCAAAGTGGTACCTACGTATTTTACTGGTACGTATGTGTCAGAAAAATACATATATGTATTACATGTCTATCATGACTCTGTATTTTCACTCCAATCATGACTTTCACAGGGGCTAATTGTGTTTTATATTTGTATACACTATGATGTACTTCTCATCAAAATTAGGAAAAAACCTACTAAATCCTCAAGTCTACACCAAGAATTCCAAATTGTTCTGAGAAATATTATCTTTTAGTTGATATTATTTTCAAATATCAAAATCTTCAATAGCCATTTAACAATGATCCTCATAAGTTGTGAGTAATTTTAGTCTGAATCACCATGAAATGAAGGATGAGAGCGCTGCTTGTTTGAGCAGCACTGCAAATATGATCAGGCTGCCTGAATCACAGCCACGGCATGGCTGACTAACCTACCATGTTCGATTTTCCAAGCAGCATGCCTAGCAAAGAGGTTTTAAATTTACTTCTAAAATGATGCTGGCTCTACTTTGGGGTAGTTTAAAAAATTATAGATACATGGAAAAATACCAATATACAATGATACCTGGTAGAGATAATGTTTTTAATGAAATGCCAAAGAACTGGCTACAGTGCCGGTCTCAGTTATGTGACACCACATATCGACTTTCTAACAACACATGTCAGAAAATGGTGCAGGTTGATTATTTCTACTGATCTTATTATTTGTTAGAAACGTAACCATAAACAGCTGGCCTGCATTTTTTCTTCTATTTCTATATATCGTCTATCTTTCTATGTGTACATAATCTACCTATTTATCTATATGTATGTATGTATATATGTATCTATCTATCTATCTATCTCTCATCTATACATAATAACTCTCCTTCTTAGAGTGAACCATGTGGAACTTCCAACCCTTCTTTCCTCTACTCCTGAATGCCTTCGGCACCTCTCTCCAGGAAAGAGAAATATAAAGCCACTGCTTCTGCTTTTCCCACACTCACTAACTTTAAACCTTTTACGATTTGACTTTTTTCCTCACAATTCTGATACTGATGTTGCAGTGATCACCAATATCACTCCAACAAGCCTGACCCCTTTTCCTCAGTTCTCAGTCTCCACTGCCCTTGGTTTACAAGACCCCCAAAACTCCGAGCACTCCCTCTCTGGTTCCATCTCCCACACCCTTCCCACGTGTTTGCTGATTTCCAGTCACAATGAACCTTTTTATTCCCCTAAATCTCTCAAGCTGGTCCCTGTTTCCAAGGCTTTCCTCTTCCTGTCTCTTGTGTCATAATGTTCCTCCCCCAGATCTTCTCTGTTTGGCTCCTTCTACCACTCAATTTTCAGACTGAGTATCACTTCTTCACTTTGACCTTCTCTGTTCCGTCCCCCTAGGATTACTGTCCCTTCAAGCCCCCATCCATTCACTCTACATCATGACTCCTTTTATAATTGCTGTTGCAATTGTTGAATAGTTGTTTATGGACCATCTCTCAACATTATCTTCTCTCACGGTATGCTCTGAACCCCCAGTGCCTAGCACAATGCCTGGTACCTTGTGGGTTATAAGATATGATTAAACTAAGGTTCGTAAAATTGTAGCTGCTACCTTCCACCTTCGTCTCCCAGATGTGCTTACTTAGTAAACCCAGTGAATATCTAACTGGAATTCTAGATGGTGTGTGGATGATTCAGAACTTACTCTTCTAAACATTTCTCCCCTATACCTCAGAATGCTTACATGGTCCTATTTATAACTCTGGAGTACATTTTTGAGTTTCTAAATAGATGTAAAAATCGGAATTCTGGGATTTTGGAATCAAAGCGTACTTGGGACCTCTTTACCCAAGGCTCCTCCGGGCTAGCTCCTCCCACCACAGTAATCCCATAAGGCAGTTATTCTTTACCATTTTACAGATTAGCAAGTGAGCTCACCAAGGTTCCACGAGGCTGACTTCTCCTATGATTCAATTTTTAGATCAGATGCCACCTTTCAATATGGCCTGCTCAGAGTTGAGCAGCCTGTCAATGACAGAGCTGGATTCTCACCCAGATCTGCCTAACCTCAGGTTCCTAACTATTTTAAGATAAAATCACTCAGAAGATCTTGGGGGTTAATAATAAAGACTCTGGAACCACTCACTAAAGGTGGGACTTTGGACAAAAATCCTCAGTGCCTCAGTTTCCTCATCCATAAAATTATGAAAATAGTATATATTTCAGAGTGATGGTGTGAGGAACAGTGCCTGACACATAGTACACACAAAGTGTTCATTATCATTATTTTTAATTACTTACATATTTTTTATTGTTTTAGAGACAGGGTTTCATTCTATCACCCAGGTTGGAATGCAGCAACACAATCATACCTCAGTGCAGCTTTGAACTCCTGGGCTTAAGCTATCCTCCCGCATTAGCCACCTGAGCAGCTGAGACTACAGGTGTGTGCCACTATGCCCAGCTAATTTTAATTTTTTGTTGTTGTTCTTGAGATGAGGTCTTGCTATGTTGCCCTGGTTGGTCTAAAACTCCTGACCTCGGAGTTCGAGCCCAGCCTGGCCAATATGGTAAAACCACATCTCTACTAAAAATATAAAAATTAGCTGGGCATGGTGGCGCATGCCTGTAGTCCCAGCTACTCGGGAGGCTGAGGCAGGAGAATCGCTTGAACCTGGGAGGCAGAGGTTGCGGTGAGCCAAGATCGCACCACTGCACTCCAGCCTGGGCATCACAGGGAGACTCCGTCTCAAAAAACAAAACAAATGAAAACTGCTGACCTCAAGCACTCTTCCCATTTTGGTTTCTAAAAGCATGGGACTACAGGCATGAGCAATCCTAACAGCCTATGTATTTATGTACATGAATGTGTCCTTGTAAAAATTCAAATATCTAAATATATGGAATAAAATGAGTAAGTCATCTTTTGCCAATCTGTTCTCCTCCCTAGAATAACCAGATCAGTGAATGCACTTTGAGTTCTTTAACATTATATTCACACGTACTTTATTTTTGCACAGTGCACGTTTTCTCCAACTTCTTTTTTCACTTAAATGATATATGTCATGGAAATCTTTCTATGAATTTGGGTCTCACTAATACTTTGTAAGATCGAACTGCAAGGCAGCAGCGAGACTAGGGGAGGAGCGCCCGCCATTGCTGAGGCTTGAGTAGGTAAACAAAGCAGCCAGGAAGCTCAAACTGGGTAGAGCCCACCACAGCTCAAGGAGGCCTGCCTGCCTCTGTAGACTCCACCTCTGGGGGCAGGGCATAGCTGAATAAAAGGCAGCAGAAACTTCTACAGACTTAAACGTCCCTGTCTGACAGCTTTGAAGAGAGTAGTGGTTCTCCCAGCACGGAATTTGAGATCTGAGAATGGACAGACTGCCTCCACAAGTGGGTCCCTGACCCCCGAGTAGCCTAACTGGGAGGCACCTCCAAGTAGGGGCAGACTGACACCTCATACGGCAGGGTGTCCCTCTGAGACGAAGCTTCCATAGGAACGACCAGGCAGCAACATTTGCTGTTCTGCAATATTTGCGGTTGTGCAGCCTCTGCTGGTGATACCCAGGCAAACAGGGTCTGGACTGGACCTCCAGCAAACTCCAACAGACCTGCAGCTGAGGGTCCTGACTGTTAGAAGAAAAACTAACAAACAGAAAGGACATCCACACCAAAACCCCATCTGTACGTCACCATCATCAAAGGCCAAAGGTAGATAAAACCACAAAGAAGGGGAGAAACCAGAACAGAAAAGCTGAAAATTCTAAAAATCAGAGCACCTCTTCTCCTTCAAAGGAATGCAGCTCCTCATCAGCAATGGAACAAAGCGGGATGGAGAATGACTTTGATGAGTTGAGAGAAGAAGGTTTCAGATGATCTGTGCACATGTACCCTAAAACTTAAAGTATAATTAAAAAAAAAAGAAAAAAGAAGGCTTCAGATGATCGATAATAACAAACTTCTCTGAGCTAAAGGAGGATGTTCGAACCCACTGCAAAGAAGCTAAAAACCTTCAAAAAAGATTACACGAATGGCTAACTAGAATAAACAGTGTAGAGAAGTCCTTAAATGACCTGATGGAGCAGAAACCATGGCAAAAGAACCACGTGACGCATGTACGAGCTTCAGTAGCTGATTTGATCAACTGGAAGAAAGGGTATCAGTGACTGAAGACCAAATGAATGAAATGAAGCAAGAAGAGAAGTTTAGAGAAAAAAGAGTAAAAAGAAACGAACAAAGCCTCCAAGAAATATGGGACTATGTGAAAAGACCAAATCTACGTCTGATTGGTGTACCTGAAAGTGACAGGGAGAAAGGAACCAAGTTGGAAAACACTCTGCAGGATATTATCCAGGAGAACTTCCCCAACCTAGCAAGGCAGACCAACATTCAAATTCAAGAAATACAGAGAATGCCACAAAGATACTCCTCGAGAAGACCAAATCCAAGACACATAATTGTCAGATTCACCAAATTTGAAATGAAGGAAAAAATATTAAGGGCAGCCAGAGAGAAAGGTCGGGTTACCCACAAAGGGAAGCCCATCAGACTAACAGCGGATCTCTTGGCAGAAACTCTACAAGCCAGAAGAGGTGGGGGCCAATATTCAACATTCTGAAAGAAAAGAATTTTCAACCCAGAATTTCATAACCAGCCAAACTAAGCTTCATAAGTGAGGGAGAAATAAAATCCTTTACAGACAAGCAAATGCTGAGAGATTTTGTCACCACCAGACCTGCCTTACAAGAGCTCCTGAAGGAAGCACTAAACATGGAAAGGAACAACCGGTACCAGCCACTGCAAAAATATGCCAAATTTTTAAGACCATTGATGCCAGGAAGAAACTGCATCAACTAACGAGCAAAATAACCAGCTAACATCATAATGATAGGATCAAATTCACACATAACAATATTAACCATAAATGTAAATGGGCTAAATGCTCCAATTAAAAGACACAGACTGGCAAATTGGATAAAGAGTCAAGACTCATCAGTGTGCTGTATTCAGGAAACCCATCTCACCTGCAGAGACACACATAGGCTCAAAATAAAGGGATGGAGGAAGATCTGCCAAGCAATGGAAAATAAAAAAAAAGCAGGGGTTGCAATCCTAGTCTCGGATAAAACAGACTTTAAACCAACAAAGATCAAAAGAGACAAAGAAGGCCATTACATAACGGTAAAGGGATCAATTCAACAAGAACAGCTAACTATCCTAAACATATATGCACCCAATACAGGAGCACCCAGATTCATAAAGCAAGTCCTTAGAGACTTACAGAGACTTAGACTCCCACACAATAATAATGGGAGACTTTAACACACCACTGTCAACATTAGACAGATCAACAAGACAGAAAGTTAAAAAGGATATCCAGGAATTGAACTCAGCTCTGCACCAAGCAGACCTAATAGACATCTACAGAACTCTCCACCCCAAATCAATAGAATATATTGTTCTCAGCACCACATCGCACTTATTCCAAAACTGACCAGATAGTTTGAAGTAAAGTACTCCTCAGCAAATGTAAAAGTGCAATCAAACTAGAACTCAGGATTAAGAAACTCACTGAAAACCGCTCAACTGCATGGAAACTGAACAATCTGCTCCTGAATGACTACTGGGTACATTGAGAAATGAAGGAATAAAGATGTTCTTTGACACCAATGAGAACAAAGACACAAAATACCAGAATCTCTGGGACACATTTAAAGCAGTGTGTAGAGGGAAATTTACAGCACTAAATGCCCACAAAAGAAAGCAGGAAAGATCTAAAATTGACACCCTAACATCACAATTGAAACAACCAGAGAAGCAAGAGCAAACACATTCAAAAGCTAGCAGAAGGCAAGAAATAACTAAGATCAGAGCAGAACTGAAGGAGATGGAGACACAAAAAAATCCTTCAAAAAATCAATGAATCCAAGAACTGGTTTTTGGAAAAGATCAACAAAATTGACAGACCGGTAGCAAAACTAATAAAGAAGAAAAGAGAGAAGAATCAAATAGATGCAATAAAAATGATAAAGGGGGTATCACCGCCAATCCCACAGAGATACAAACTACCATCAGAGAATACTATAAACACCTCTATGCCAATAAACTAGAAAATCTAGAAGAAATGGATAAATTCCTCAACACATACATCCTCCCAAGACTAAACCAGGAAGAAGTTGAATCCCTGAATAGACTAATAACAGGCTCTAAAATTGAGGCAATAATTAATAGCCTACCAACCAAAACAAGTCCAGGACCAGACAGATTCACAGCCAAATTCTTCCAGAGGTATAAGGAGGAGCTGATACCATTCCTTCTGAAACTATTCCAATCAACAGAAAAAGAGGGAATCCTCCCTAACTCATTTCATGAGGCCAGCATCATTCTGATACCAATGCCTGGCAGAGACACAACAAAAAAAGAGAATTTTAGACCAATAACCGTGATGAACATCGCTGCAAATATCCTCAATAAAATACTGGCAAACCAAATCCAGCAACACATCAAAAAGCTTATACATCATGATCAAGTGGGCCTCATCCCTGGGATGCAAGGCTGATTCAACATACACAAATCAATAAACATAATCCAGCATATAAACAGAACCAATGACAAAAACCTCATGATTCTCTCAATAGATGCAGAAAAGGCCTTTGACAAAATTCAACAACCTTCATGCTAAAACGCTCAATAAATTACGTATTGATGGGACCTATCTCAAAATAATAAGAGCTATTTATGACAAACACACAGCCAATATCATACTGGATGGGCAAAAACTGGAAGCATTCCCTTTGAAAACTGGCATAAGACAGGGATGCCCTCTCTCACCACTCCTATTCAACATAGTGTTGGAAGTTCTGGCCAGGGCAATCAGGCAGGAGAAAGAAATAAAGAGTATTCAGTTAGGAAAAGAGGAAGTCAAATTGTCCCTGTTTGCAGACGACATGATTGTATATTTAGAAAACCCCATTGTCTCAGCCCAAAATCTCCTTAAGCTGATAAACAACTTCAGCAAAGTCTCAGGATACAAAATCAATGTACAAAAATCACAAGCATTCTTATACACCAATAACAGACAAACAGAGAGCCAAATCATGAGTGAACTCCCATTCACAATTGCTTCAAAGAGGATAAAATACCTAGGAATCCAACTTACAAGGGATGTGAAGGACCTCTTCAAGGAGAACTACAAACCACTGCTCAACCAAATAAAAGAGGACACAAACAAATGGAAGAACATTCCATGCTCATGGATAAGAAGAATCAATATTGTGAAAATGGCCATACTGCCCAAGGTAATTTATAGATTCAATGCCATCCCCATCAAGCTACCAATGACTTTCTTCACAGAATTGGAAAAAACTACTTTAAAGTTCATCTGGAACCAAAGAAGAGCCCTCATTGATAAGACAATACTAAGCCAAAAGAACAAAGCTGGAGGCATCACGCTACCTGACTTCAAACTATACTACAAGGCTACAGTAACCAAAACAGCATGGTACTGGTACCAAAACAGAGATATAGACCAATGGAACAGAACAGAGCCCTCAGGAATAATGCCGCATATCTACAACCATCTGATCTTTGACATACCTGACAAAAACAAGAAATGGGGAAAGGATTCCCTATTTAATAAATGGTGCTGGGAAAACTGGCTAGCCATATGTAGAAAGCTGAAACTGGATCCCTTCCTTACATCTTATATAAAAATTAATGCAAGATGGATTAAAGACTTAAATGTTAGACCTAAAACCATAAAAACCTTAGAAGAAAACCTAGGCAATACCACTCAGGACATACGCGTGGGCAAGGACTTCATGTCTAAAACACCAAAAGCAATGGCAACTAAAGCCAAAATTGACAAATGGGATCTAATTAAACTAAAGAGCTTCTGCAGAGTAAAAGAAACTACCATCAGAGTGAACAGGCAACCTACAACATGGGAGAAAATTTTTGCAATCTACCCATCTGACAAAGGGCTAATATCCAGAATCTACAAAGAATTTAAACAAATTTACAAGAAGAATCAAACAACCCCATCAGAAAGTGGGCAAAGGATATGAACAGACACTTCTCAAAAGAAGACATTTATGCAGCCAACAGACACATGAAAAAATGCCCATCATCACTGGCCATCAGAGAAATGCAAATCAAAACCACAATGAGATACCATCTCACGCCAGTTAGAATGGTGATCATTAAAAAGTCAGGAAACAACAGGTGCTGGAGAGGATGTGGAGAAATAGGACCACTTTTGCACTGTTGGTGGGACTGTAAACTAGTTCAACCATTGTGGAAGACAGTGTGGCAATTCCTCAAGGATCTAGAACCAGAAATACCATTTGACCCAGTCATCCCATTACTGGGTATATACCCAGAGGATTATAAATCATGCTGCTATAAAGACACATGCACGTGTGTTTATTGTGACACTATCTGCAATAGCAAAGACTTGGAACCAACCCAAATGTCCATCAATGACAGAATGGATTAAGAAAATGTGGCACCTATACACCATGGAATACAATGCAGCCATAAAAAATGATGAGTTCATGTCCTTTGTAGGGACATGGATGAAGCTGGAAACCATCATTCTGAGCAAACTATCGCAAGGACAGAAAAGCAAACACCACATGTTCTCACTCATAGGTGGGAATTGAACAATGAGAACACTTGGACACAGGATGGGGAACATCACACACTGGGGCCTGTCGTGGGGTGGTGGGAGGAGGGATAGCATTAGGAGATATACCTGATGTAAATGAGGAGTTAATGGGTGCAGCATACCAACATGGCACATGTATACATATGTAACAAACCTGCTACGTTGTACACATGTACCCTAGAACTTAAAGTATATATAAAAAAAGATCTGCATAGTTTTGGATGGTATATATTTAAAATGATCTTCCTGTTCTAGATAGATAAACCTCTAGATATTAGAGAGTTGTCAATTTTCACTCTTATAAACAATGCTGCAACCCTGTAAATATGAGTAAGATTTACGCTTACTTATCTCTATTTCAGAATAACTTTCTAGGGATATAGTACACTCAGCAGCCCTCCATATCCATGTGTTCTGCACTCATGAATCCAACTGTGATTAAGAATAGTGGGGAAAAAATGGATGGCTGTGACTTTGTTGAACATGCACAACCATTTTTTTCTTGCCATTATTCTTTAAACAATATAGTATAACGACTATTTTTACAGCATTTGCATCGTATTATTAGTAATCTGGAGATGATTTAGGTATACAGGAGGCTGTACAAAGGTTACATACAAAACTACACCATTTTATATAAGGGACTTGGGCATCCATGAACGTTGGTATCTTTGGGGGTGGGGGGCTCCTGGAATGAATCTCCCGCAGATATCCAGGGATGACTGTATTTCTAGTCCACAAGGTTGCTCACCATTGAGTAACTTCTTTTTACCTGCACATGGAGGTGTATTTTAAGTGTCCATTCAAATCAGTGATTGATGAGAATACACAGTGTATTTTTCCTCTAGGCCACAGAAACTAATTTCTGAAATGAAATTTTTTTAACTAATTGACTTTTTGCTAGTTTTTGAATAGCCCAAAGAAAATGGGATTATATTCTCAAATTCAAATCATCATCATCATCATAATCATAGCTTATGTTTTTGAGCACTTCCCACATACTTCCTTAAGCCCTTTGCTCAGAGATGGTCAGTATTTCATTGTCATGACAACCATAATCACCTTCACCCAAATTTGTCTGAAATGCATGATTCCCAAGTTTATATAGAAATATTGATATTTTCTTTTATTCTTTTTTTTTTTTTTTTGAGACAGTCTCGCTCTTTGCCCAGGTTGGAGTGCAGTGGTGGGATCTCAGCTCACTGCAACCTCCGCCTCCTGGGTTCAAGAGATTCTCCTGCCTTAGCCTCCCGAGTAGCTGGGATTATAGATGCCTGCCACCACGCCCAGCTAATTTTTGTATTTTTAGTAGAGACTGGGTTTCACCATGTTGGCCAGGCTGGTCTGGAACTACTAAGTTCAGATGATCCACCTGCCTTGGCCTCCCAAAGTGCTGCGATTACAGGCATGAGCCACTGTACCTGGCCCTGATTTTCATTACTTTTCTTTCAGATTAGTTTATAGATTTTTAGATTTGAGGCTTAGAAGAAAATTCCTTAGTTTAGTATAGTAGAACTATTTTCCTGTATTTTATTTAAAGCTTAATAATACAAATTTTAGAAGTGCAAATATATTTTATTATATTCTTTATCTCTTTATCTTTTTTATTTGTAAGATAAAAGTAAAGATTTATCTCACAAATAAATGTTTATAAAAAATGAGATAGCAAAAGCAATTATTTTAGCCTGCCTAGGAGATTTAAAAATTGGTTCCACAGGTCTGTAAGAATAAACACAAACAATTTTCTATAGACAAATTTTAAAGTATAATTCGAAGTACATCAGAAATACAGTCGTCTCCCCTTATCTGCAGTTTCGCTCGCTTTCCATAGTTTCAATTACCCGTGGTTAATCACAGCCTGAAAATATTAAATAGAAAATTTCAGAAATAAGCAATTCATAAGTTTTAAATTGCTCACTATCCTGAGTAATGTGATGAAAACACGTGTCACCCTGCTCTGTCCTGCATGGGACGTGAATCATCCCTTTGTCCAGCATATCCATGCCCTATAAGCAACCCACCTATCAGTCACTTAAGTAGCCCTCTGGGTTATCAGGTGGGTTGTCATGGTATCACAGTGCTTGTGTTCAAATCACTCTTATTTCAATCAACAACGGCTCCAAAGTGCACAAGTAGTGATGCTGGCATATTGCTACAATTTTCTATTTTATTAGTGGTTCTTGTTGTTAATCTCTGTGCCTCATTTATAAAAGCAACTTCATCACAGGTGTGTATGTATAAGAAAAAACATAGTACATATAGGGTTCAGCACTGTTTGCAGTTTCTGGCATCCACCAGGGATTTGGGGACTACTGCAGTCACTTTCTCTCAAGGTATCACCTCCATTTCTCACATCTGAGTTGTCACCATCAAAATACTCATTGTTTTGGGCCTACAAGCCTTTTAAAGTTCATTATTAAAGTTTAAATAGCCTTTTATGGGGATTCTTATCAGTTAGTGCCTTTTTCATTCATTTGTCCAGGATGTTTATTAAACCAGAACACCGGCACTCCCTGGACTAGGAAACAAGGAGCGCACAGGCTGGGGCCCAGAGAGTTTACACGACTCCTGAGGACAACCGACTCAGACGGGGTCCGAAGAAATTCAGATCGGTGAATGGGTGAAACACACAGAGAACTAGAAAAGACTACGTTGGCCCACTTCACCATTTTGCCCTGAGATGGTTCTGTGGACTTAACAAGAAAAGGAAAAGGATAAAGCCTGTGCCAGAAGAAGTGGTTCAGGAGGTAAGGGTTTCTAAGATAGTGTATGGCTTTACGATGTATAGCTCTCTCCTCCAAGTACATTTCAGAGAAAAATCCTGAGCAATATAAAACCTTGAGCAAGCTGAAAGCAATAAAAATGTACTGGAGTGTGATAAAAAGGACATTTTGCCAATTTATAATTACACTCGTAACATATAAGCTGTTTCATACTTTACAAGTTGCGCTTGCTAGGAGTCAGGTCTGTGGATGTATGTAATCTTTCCTCTCTATACTTCTGCATAAGCCTATTTTTCTTCAAAATTTTATAGCTGTTTGTGTAGTGACTCCAAATAAAAACAGTGAAAATACACTGATTATTTTTCAACTCTAAATACCCACTTTAAGTATAGCTGAAGAATGAAAGGATATAATCCTCCTATTGGTCCCTTGTTGCTAAGAAGCATTTCCATTGCAGATTTTGAGTATTACATTCATTGAAAAAGTCTTATGCATATTTTATGGCATAATTATTTTTATTGTAAGAAACTCAACATGAAATCTATCATCTTAAACAATACAGTACCATTAACTATAGGCACAGTTTTGTACAGCAGATCGCTAGAACTTGTTTAACTGAAATTTATTTCGAAAGAGATAGCAAGTGTTGGCAAGGATGTGAAAAAAAGGAACCCCTTTTGCACCATTGATGGGAATGTAAATGGTGCAGCTGCAATGGAAAACATTATGGCAAATCCTCAAAAGATTAAAAATAGAACTATCATATGATCCAGCAATCTTACTTTCGGGTATATACACCCCCCCAATATAAAATGAAGATGTTAAAGAAATATTGGCCCTCCTATGTTCACTGCAGCATTATCCACAATAGCCAAGATGTGGAAATAACCCAAATGTCCACTGATGAGTGGAATGGATAAACAAAAAATGGTATAATTTTTAAAATCACAAACTGAGTTGGTCTAATGTCTTAATATTGGCATGTCATTTTCAGCTTGACATTCACACCTTGAAGATTCAGTTAAACACAGAATAGCAATCTGCATCTTTAATATCATCTCGGTGGGGCTCAGACTTTCCTGTCACTGAACTTTCTGTAGGTCCTCAGTGCTGTGAGGAGCTTAGAGGCCCAATAGCAACCTGTCCTCTGGGATTCCGTCTTCCAAGTTGGAGCAACTGGGAGAACAACAGGGGCCACTGGAACTGTCCAACAGAGTCCTGCAGCTGCAGGACAGCCATGGGGTAGATGGAGGACAGTCAGAATTCTCTGCTGCTTTCATTTCCCACCGAGCTGTTGTCCCCGTCTTCCTCCCCATAGTCAGTGCTGTGGGCTCACTTTGCAAACCACACAAGGACCGGCCTGTGAGAAACTTCCAGTAGAAAATCCTGCCACCCTGAGAAACCAGGAGTTTCCAGAATCTTTCTGTCCACATGTCACCTACTTATAAACTGAGGGAGGCAGTGCTGGATTCTGTGGTGAGGCAGGGTTGGGGGGAAGGGTTTTTAACTTGAAGATCTAAATAAACCAGAGTTCAAGACCTGTCACAATTCCAAGTATGATGTAAATCACTCATCCCCCTTGAATTTCCCATCTTCATTTGCAAAATGGAGGTAATGGTGATTACTCCTAGGATCTTATCTGAGGGAAGATGTATAGATATCAGTAAACATAATGCACTGTGGAAAATTCAAATGATTTCCATTTCAAGTACACTTTGGGATGAAGCAAGGTTGAAAGAAAACAAGGAAGACAAGGTTTTGTTTTTGTTTCTTGGGTCTTGCTCTAATAAATTCACAAAGGAGTTTGAAAGGTGATAGCAGCTGGGTGTTTCATAGCCAACAGGCCTACACATACCACAGAAACCACGCAGCAAAATGTAAATTTTAAAATATGTTCCCTTCTTTTTAACTTTCAGCAAGCTTAACAGATTTCAAAATTACACTAAAACTCTCCCAGAGTTAAATGTTGTTTTTCCACTCTGGAAAAGGGAAATTAGATTGAAAAATAGAATATTAAAAAATAGGTAATAATGGAAGAAAATGCATTGGGTGGGGGGCTCTAACTACATACACTTTGAAAAAGGAAGATGTTTTCCTACTCTGTCTTTCTAGAAGAGTTGTGTCTGGTCCTACTCAAGTCTGCAGAGGGTCAGTTTCCTGTTCACTTGCTCACAGCAGCTTGCAGTCCTTCTCAGTCCCAACTTCTAATTTTATTCATTTTCACCCCAATGTAGAATTTGTTTCTCACAGTACTCATCAACGTAAGCCACGGTTCAGTCTTCCTATGCAATGTATATTAAATACTGTATTACATTTTAAAATACGAGTTATGAGATGTTAGTCACATTCATTAATCTGCATGTGAAAATACAACTAAAATGTGGGCACGGTGAGTCCCTGGGGCCGCAGTTCTCAGGGTTTATTGAGCACATGATTTCTTTCAAGGTGAATGTGATTTAACTTAAAAAGTTTTGCTGTTTTTATAAAGGACAATCAGACTTCTCCGTATTATTTGGCATCGCTGCAGGGTTCAGACTTTGAATGAAGGTAGAAAATTAGCCTTCAGCATACAAAGTAAAATGTCAATAATAAGAAGTAACTGGTGACTAAAGCTAAAATCAGGAGGAAAAAAGCAGAAAGCAAAACCAAAGCAAATTCAATCCCAAATTAAGTTTAAATGGGAAGATAAATTAAAAATTAAATTTTAAAATGACATAGCAAATTATAAATAGAAAGAAATGAGTCTAGTCGAGTTCTGCAGCCTCCAGCCTGGAGAAGGGTGGGGTGAGATGAAAACATTCAGACTTCCTTCCTTCCCTTCCTTCCCTCCCTCCCTCCCTCCCCCACTCCCCTCTCCCACTCCTCCCTTCTCCCTCCCCCTTCCCCCCTCCCCCCTTCTGCCCCTTCCTCCCTTCCTTCCTTCCTTCCTTCCTTCTGGTGTGAACTGCACCAGCACCCTGCCCCTCGCCCCTCTCACCTGCATCTCCTTTTCATCCTTTCTCCCTCTCTCGGTTGGTTCTCTGTTTGTGATAGTGTTTTAGGACCAACCACTTGGGTTCAGATTTCTTTAGAGGACAAAATGCCAGAGGGACTAGAAAGGAGGAGGGGGTTCCTATGACTCAGAGGGAAAAGAACTTGGGCCTGGAACTAAGTCTCCTGCCCCTTCTGCATGAAAGTGCCCTGGAGTCCTCAGCTGAGCAAATCCATATTCCTTTAAAAGGCAGGAAATGCATTTTGCCCAGCACTAAATTCGTCCTCACTGATAAATTCCAAACCTGAGGGGGAACATCTGTGCCTGATCATCGCCCTCACTCCCACCAGGGAGACAGAATCCATAGAATCCACAGCGTGCCAAACAGTTAGGGATTAATGTTTCTGTGTGGAACCCTGAAGAGAGACACGTTCTGGGCTGGGATGGCAGCAAAACCACATCACTCCAGAATTCCAATCAGAGACCCGAGAGCAGCCATTCCCCCAGGCCTCTCATCCCTATCATCCCCGGACATGTCTTCAAATCGTATGCCGTTGATCCTCAGATCAATCTGTCCTTTTCTGGGCTCTCTACACTCCCATCCGCCCATGCACTCCCCACTACTCTTCTTCCTTCCCCACAGTTTTTTTTCTGTGCACTCTTTGACCCTCATAAAGAAGGGAAGGGAAAAGGAGGGGAGGGGAAGGGAAGGGAGGGAAAGGAAAAAGAAAGGAGAGAGGGAAGGGGGATGAGGTTGAGGGGAGGAAAGAAGGAAGAAAAAAGACTACTTTAATCTTATCTGAGAATATTCTGGTGTAGCCTAGAAATTGAGACTGGCTCCCCAGGTGGGCAGCCCAAGGTTTCTGGTACAGGCTCTGCTTGTGTGACATGAGCTCATTACTGAGCCTCTCTAAAGTTGTATTTCTTCATCCCAAGTTAATGATGAAAAAGTAAATAATAGAATGCAGCTAAAATTCTAAAAATCTCACCTGGTACACAATAAATACTCAGTTATATTGGGTGTCAGACACTGATCTACACCTTGATTAAAACTCAGGTCTTCCTTTTGGACACCCCTGCCCTTGTAACACTCAGGAATGCAGTTTCCTCATTTCCCCTCATCTTATTTGTGGTGGGGTCTGGATACATTTTCACCAATCTCCTTTGATTTCATAACATTGCACCTCCTCACAAAAGTAACTGAACTAACACAATGAGAAAGTTATCTCTTCTCTTAAATATCATTTGACTATAGCTCCCTCTACCCTTCCTGGCCATTGTAATTCATTTTCTAAACTCCGAGTCATTCCCTTACACTTATCACCATCTCCTCTATCCCAAAGCCACAATATGAACATCCTTGAGGAATACCAATAAGATCCTTTGACTTCAAGTTCCCTGATGCAAATGAGCTCCAGCTGCTTCACTTCAGCCTCATTCCCATGGCCAACCTCATCACCACCTGGGATGGGGGCACCATCTTTGAAATCTTATTTAAACTCTCTGTTGACTGTACACCTCTAGATATTCCCAGATCTCTCACTCCCACACTATAGCTTCTTTGACATGCTGACTCTTTCTGATTTTCATTATCAGCCTCTCTTGATCTAATTGTCCTCTCCACATTGCCCAAACAGCATGGTACCTTTTTTTCCAGACTCTTTTGCCAATTTGTTAGCATTTATGTAGCCAAATCCTCAATGTCGGCATACCTGCAGATGCTAATTCTAGGTCAGTCTTCTCAGTTGCCTTCACAGGTTCTGCAAACAGCTGACTATTGCTGGGGAAAACCCCCCAGCTGTGCGGGTGTGGTCCCTATTCATGGTCTCCATCCTGGGGTCTGTATGCTACGAGGACAATGGTCCTTAGCCTTGAATGAATATGGGAATCATCAGGTGGATTCTTTAACATACTGCTTAGTTCCTACTCTCTTGAGGTTCGGATTTAAGTGGTCTGGGCAGGTGTTTCCAGTGTAGAAATGTACTATTACTAGGGACTCTTGTTGTTCCCTGTCAAAATCTTTTTCCATTCCACATCCTCTACTACACACACATAAACATTTCCTACCTTAATTCCACTTTTCCCTTATCACTTTTTTGTTTGTTTGTTTGTTTTTGAGACAGGCTCTTGCTTTGTCACCCAGGCTGGAGTGCACTGGCTCGATCACAGCTCATTGCAGCCTCGATCTTCCAGACTCAAGCAATCTTCCTTAGTTTTCCGAGTAGTTGGGACTACAGGCACACACCACTACAACTAGGTAATTTTTGTATTTTTTTGTAGAGACAGGGGTCTCACTGTGTTGCCCAGGCTGGTCTCAGACTCCTGCACTCAAGGGATCTGCCTGCCTCAGCCTACCATAGTGTTGGGATTACAGGTATGAGCCACAGCACCTGATCCTTCATCACTCATATCACAGAGCTTGAATCTTCTGAACATCAAGTAGATAAGAAACAGCTATAAACTCCCTTTCAGAAATTTAAAATAAAGCGTATATAATTAGCTATTTTCCTCCTGTTTCAGAAAACATCACTGTTTTTCAGTGTCTTCTGTGTTCTGGATCCTTTTCCCTGCCATCCCTCTGGGACGTTGCCCCTCAGCTACTCTGTGAGTTTCTTCTGTCTCCAAGCTGTTGATGGGCATGGGAGTTCCACCAGCATCCCTGGCAGTGACCAGGCTCTAGTCGCTCTAGCTTCCACTTCACACTGTCTCCTGCCCGATGTCCCTCTTGCTACTGCTGTCCCACTCTCTTTTTCTAAGCATCCCGACTTCTACAGAAAGTATTCATCATTTGCTCTCTCCTTTTCATTAACTCATTTCCTCTCCTCAGTCCTCTGCAATCAGGCATCTACTCTTATCCATTCATCAATTTACTGATGACCTCCGATCTATCACTAATTTATAGATTATTTTGTTTTCATTTTCACAATAATCCTATAATGTATGTTCTATAATAACACCTACTATATAGATGAAGAAACAAGGTACAAAGTGGTTAATCAGCTAGTCCAAGTTCATACAGCTAGCAAATGAAGCCAGTATTTGAACCCAACTGATTTGACTCAGAATCTGCATTCTTACCTACGTCCTGCTTTGTCTTCCAGTTCACCTGACATTTGCTTGCTCTGATGACAAAATTCTGCCCTACCTGATTTGACATTCCTAGCATTCCAGTCAGTCTTGGGTTAAATAGCTGAAGTGGGACTATTATTTCCAGACTCCACTGTTAAAATGCACAAAGAAGCCAGAACAGAGGGAGTGTGCTGATGGTTTTCACTAATTATTTTCCTCTACCACATTAGCTTGGGTACCAGATCCAGCCACGTTTTTGGTGCCACAACCCAAGGAGCTGGAGGGTAAGGATCCACAGAGGGGAAGGGATAGAGGAGATGAGAGGAAGGAGAGGAAAGAAGAGAAGAGAAGAGAAGAGAGAAAGGGTGAGGATGACCAGCTCAGTACCCAGTGTTCTGCAGCTCTGGAAGGTAGGCCTGCCTTGATCTAAGATGTGATCCTACAGGACCTCTGGCAACCAGAAGCTCCAAACAATGCCCAAAGCAGGTAACATGAAAAAAGATTTGGGAAGGATAAGAAATGCATATTCCTGAACCTGAACTCAGAGGTAGCTACAGCTTACTCTGCCCGGTCACAGCACACAAATGCAGTTTCCTTTCAGAAATAATTTTCGCAAAAGATTTTGTGTCATAGCTTAAGGAATTTAGCTCAGATGAAGAAAAAAAATCTTAGTATTAAGATTCTAAATAGAACAATAAAAGAAACCCATAGTACAAATTAATGAGATGTGATAGGGCTAATTTCTCTGTTTAGAGATGTTTTAACTGTGACTTGACAATACTGACATGCAAGCTCTTCAGGAGAACCTAGTTTTCATTTGAGCTTGCTTAATTAATTACCGAAGTAATGAATTCATTCTGATTCAAGGGTAGACAATTGACTGTTAATGTAAATTTATTGGCCGTTTAACTTTTTTTATTATTTTGGAGAAGCAAGGATGGAAAAAATACCACCAGAGTAAATTTACATTGTGTTCTTGGGATATTTTTCAGTAATTTTTGTAAACTTCCTTACAATAAATAGAAGCCGTTCCTAAACCTGAATTTATTTTTCCTTTCAGTCAGAAGTTTAGCTAATAAAACTTTTGCCAGCGTGTAGCACAATAGCTCCCTTGGGAACTCTTTCAACTGCGTAATTTTTTCTCTCTCTTGTAAAAAGAATGACATGGTGTCTTTAAAATGTTCAAGGCTCTGAAAGAAAGACAAGCCATTTGATATGAATGATTAATAAGAACATTAAGGAATACAAAATAAGAGGAGTTTAAATATAAAAAAATTCTCATTTTCAGAATGCAGATCAAATCTGACTTCTCTTCTATTTTTCCTGTTTCACAGACAAAATCCTGACTGAGGTTAAGTGCTAATGTTTTTAATGCCCATCTTTTATTCTCATGCTTGACACCAATCGGCTACTTCAGAACTAGTGTCTTGACACGTGAATCTTTTCCACAGCACCAAAGGTTATTCCACAAGGACATCTGCGAAAGGAAGAATATATTTCTAACGCAATAAACAAAGGATTTTATGCAAAGCCTATTTAGACAGGAAATGGAAACGCGGATGAGAGAGAAGCCATGTTGTTCAGGTCCTGCTATTTATGAGGGAGAGTTTTCCTTGAGAAATGCATGTCTCTTTATAAGCAGAAACCTCTGTAAGGTAATCCAGCAGTGATGGAACGAGATATGATATTACGTTTTAATCAAAAAGAGAGTCATTAAGAATATAGCATTATTAATATTTATTCTTATCCATATTATATTTTAAAGTATTAGGAAAATATTCATTGTGGAGATGATTTAAGAATCTATCCATATGAGGAAATAAAACAAAGTGTTACCCGAAAGGGGTCCCGATCCAGACCCCAAAAAAGGGTTCTTGGACCTTGTGCAAGAAACAAATTGGGACAAGTCCAGAAAGTGAAAGCAAGTTTATTAAGAAAGTAAAGGAATGAAAGAATGGCTACTCCAGAGGCAGAGCAGCAGCATGGGCTGCTCAGATAAATATAGTTATTTCTTTATTATATGCTAAACAAGGGGTGGATTATTCATGAGTGTTCCAAGAAAGGGGCAGGCAATTCCCAGAACTGAGGGTTCCTCCCCACTTTAGACCACATAGCGTAACTTCTGGACGTTGCCATGGCATTTGTAAACTGTCATGGCGCTGGTGGAAGTGTCTTTTAGCATGCTAATGAATTATAATTAACTTATACTGAGCAATAAGGATGACCAGAGGTCACTCTCATAGCCTTCTTGGTTTTGGTGGGATTTGGCCAGCTTCTTTACCGTATCCTGTTTTATCAGCAAGGTATTTGTGACCTGTATCTTGCGCCGACCTCCTGTCTCATCCTGTGACTAAGAATACCTTAACCTCCTAGGAATGGAGCCCAACAGGTCTCAGCCTCAGTGTTCCCAGCCCCTACGCAAGATGGTTCAAATGCTTCTGATAAAGGGACTCATATATTAGGAATTCACAATCTGAAATGAGCAATAATATTCTGAATGTAAAGATAGCCTAAATGACATGTTTTAGCCAGTGGCATATAAAATTAGATTTGTCATGAATTGATGTCATACGTATAATTTGGGGGAAAGGCCAGCATAGAATAATTGTAAGATAGAATGGAAAATAACTGAGTTTCAAATACTGGCAGGCAAAGAGTAGACAAGCCATTGTATCTCATGGTAATTCAGAAAGGCATCTGGATATGGAGCCATCTCAGAAGTCATTCACATGACAGAAGAGAAATTAGTAAATATTTCTGAGGCGGAGACCAGTTGGCAAACACATGGCTTTACTCTTGGTCAAAGGACCTAATTCAGAGGTGATGAGATGACAAACGTTTGGGGGTGATACCTGACACCAAAGGAAAGCAAGAACTGGAGAAATGGTCATGAGAGTAAAGATGCAAAACTCTAGTGACTGACTAGTAGCAGCAACTTAGAAACCGAGTCAGCAGCTGAAATGCAAAAAGGAAGCCATCCTAGAAGAAAGCCGGATTAAAGTCGCAGACAGAGCGGGCTGCTCCAACAGCAAAGCCATATATTTTGAGACAGCGATGCGCTGCCTTTCTTCACAAGGTTTACCCAGCACACCCACCCAAACCATGGCAGACTTGTATTGATGCATTTTCCCCTTCCAAATGGATCCCCTGTGAGAACTCTGGGCGTATATCAACACAAAGGTTTGATGAGAAAGTGGAGGACTGAGCAAAGCTAACTTATTTTGAACTTCAATACTACTTTAGAGCACAATAAAATATTAAGCTTTACATCATTCTGCTTCCTTATTGTAGATTACCCATTGTTCAGTCTACTTTGGGATTTCTTCATTGTAGCTTGTTGCAGCACTTCTGTGCGTGTGTGTGTGTGTGTTTGCACACACTCATAAAATCTTAGCATGAGAAATAGTTACACCATGTGAATTTAAAAATGAGGAGAACTTAGATAGGAACTTGTTAGTCTGAACTGCAGCTGCCCCTGTGGAAAACTGGTGTTGCCCTCCCTTTAGTTTTGCTGCAGAAATGGGTGATTTTAAACCTGAAAGTCAAAGTATATTTATTAGCTTGATCATATGAAATTGCTGTTTTTGTAGGTCAAGATACTTAGATATCAGCACATTCACGAGGTTCAGCCTTATAGTGCGTGACTGGATTCCACATCCACCCTGCATTTTGTAATCGAAGGTGAGGAAGCTCACAGGTGTTGAGCACCTAGTACTTGGCCAGGTGTTTGTTAGGGGCTATTTTAGAAACAGCACTCAGTTAGTTACTCTTAGCCAGGTGCTGTCTGCACCACATCACGTGATGGTCAAGGACTGATGACCCAGGACATGAATAAGTATCATTCATTCAACATTAAACATGGGAAAAAAAGACTCATTAATTTTAAAAACACCACTAAAATAAATATTACAACTAGAATTTGAAGGCTATTTATTTCTATCGGGTTACATCCACTAATAAATGTTACAAAGTTAGGATGACTTTTAACTTGAGATACAGTTTTGTAGCCGCTGTTGTTGTTTTTTAATCTAATAAGCTCCTTCTGTGCTATACCAAATGACCTCCCTAGCTGGGACTCCTCCTGACATCCAGGCTGTTCCTTCGCATTTGAAAGCCCATGAAAGTCTTTCTTCTTACCAGTACACTGATGCCCACACATCCCAGCCACTGCCCTTCACTCTCACATCAAGATAAGGTCTTGATGTTCACTTTCAGGTTTTATATCAGTATACTGAGCTTTAGCGATTGGCTTTCATCCTGGAGAAATTTCAATGGGAAAAAGAACTGCATTAAAATCACTACTTATTATTTTTTTTACATTTATTTCAGTTTGTTTTTAATTGAAAAGCCATACGATTCACATAGTTCAAACCATATCTACATCCATTTTATATTTTTATCCCATTCCCATTACCCAGAGGGAAAAAATGCTATGATTTTTCTTATATGTCCTTCTAGAAATATTTCATATTTACATGAGTATATATATATATACATATATATATATATATATACATATATTCATTGTGGGAATTTCAAATGGGAGAATATCTTACCTTATTCTTTGATTTTAGAAAAATATCTTGAAGTTCATTCACAGCAAGTATGTTTACCTCATTATTTCTCAAGGCTGCATGCTATTCCAGAGTATAAATGTACCATGACCACTGCAAGAGAACTGTACTAACATATTTACCATTATATTCATAAAATGTTAGTTAATCTCTTCATGCACATATGCATATATTACACTATGACTGTGGGATAAATTCCTAGAAGTAGCATTGCTGCTTAACGTAAACTATACATTGAGAGAAACTGAAAGCATCACTCTTTTTGCATTACCTCCATTCACTACACTGCAAGTTGATCATTTTTTGGAACTTTAATTTTATAGATAGTGCCAAATGGTTCTTCAAGAAATCATATTCATAAAAAGGCACCAGTTCCTGAAATTGAATCATCTGAGTTTTACCTTTTCATGTGCACACATGAAACAGACCTAAAACATTCCCAGATGTGGTGAGGGGTTGTGAGTAAAGATTCTGCAGCCAGGCCACTTGGGTTCAAATTATTGTGCTACCACTAACTAGCTCTATAATTGGGGCAAATAAATAAAGCCTGTCTTTTTGCTTTCCTTGTTTTCATCTGGGAAGAATATTAGTATCTAGCTCATAGAGTTCTGCGAGGATTTTAATATATACAAAGCACAAAGAATCATGTTTGGTGCACAGTAAGCACTCAAGATACATAATGTCTTCATACTTAAATTTATTCTTAAAACTGATTATTTTTAACCTGAGCATTATGCTGAGCAATAATATCCATAATATTGCATGTTTGCATACTATTTAATTTTAAGAGACTTTAAATTTAATGCATTAACTATGAAAGTATAGTTGAAAGTAATGTCCTAAGCAACACAGCCTCAGTAAATGTTTTAGTTGTTCTAATAAACTGAGTAGTACCTCACTGCTGTTTTAATTTGCATTTCTTTAACTTATAAACAAGGTTGAATATTATCTCATGAATTTTATTATTATTATTACTATTATTATTATTTGAGACGGAGTCTTGCTCTGTCGCCCAGGCTGGAGTGCAGTGGCGCAATCTTGGCTCACTGCAAGCTCCACCTCCCGGGTTCACAGCATTCTCCTTCCTCAGCTTCCTGAGTAGCTGGGACTACAGGCGCCCGCCACCACACCTGGCTAATTTTTTGTATTTTTAGTAGAGATGGGGTTTCACCGGGTTAGCCAGGATGGTCTTGATCTCCTGACCTCGTGATCTGCCCACCTCGGCCTTCCAAAGTGCTGGGATTACGGGTGTGAGCCACCGCGCCAAGCATTATCTCATAAATTTATGAACTATTTTTTCTTCATGTGGAATGCTTATCAATCCTTCTCAATTTTACATTGCTTTTCTTAATCTTTATCCATTGATGTGTAAGAGCACTTTACAAAAAAACTGTGTCATGTATATTAAAATATTATTTCCCATTTATAAATTGATATCTTCTGGTAAGTTTCAAATAATTTCATTTATTAGTCTCTTTAATGTGGTCTTGGTTTTACATCTTGCATAGAAATACATGCCCGCTCCCACATTATATATGCAAACCTCTCCCAGAATCTTCTAGAACTGTTTCTGTGGCTACTTTAAAATCTTTAATTCATCTACAATCTACTTTGACGCAAGGAATAGGGTAATGGTCCAGTTTTATTAATTTTTTCCTGAGGGATACCTAGCTTCCCCAGTACCATTTATTAATTTTTTTCTTACTAATTTAAAATGCCACATCTTTTATCAGCATATATATTTGAATTTGTTAGTGAATACTATTTTTTCCACTGCTATTAATATCAAGCATACTAAAATCTAGAATCAACCTTTATTATGTACTTTTTTTTTTTTTTGAGACAGACTCTCACTCACTCTGTCACTCAGGCTGGAGTGCAGTGGCGCAATCTTGTCTCACTGCAACCTCCACCTCCAGGGTTCAAGAGATTCTCCTGCCTCAGCGTACCAAGTAGCTGGAATTACAGGAGCACGCCACCACACCCAGCTAATTTCTGTATTTTTAGTAGAGACAGGGTTTCACCACGTTAGCTAGGCTGCTCTCAAACTCCTGACCTCAGGTGATCTGCCCAACTCAGCCTCTCAAAGTGCTGGAATTACAGGCCTGAGCCACCGCGTCCAGCCTCTAGGTATTTTTCTAATTGGTAAGACTAACTCCTTTTTCAATTTCTTGTTGCCAGTTGTACTGCTTATCCTTTTATGAAAATTAATTTTTTTAAATTTGATGAATAAAATATGTATGCACTATGTACAACTTGATGTTTTGAAACATGCATACATAATTGAATGAGTACATCAAGCTAATTAAATATGCATTACCTCACATACTTATTTTTGTGGTGAGAAAACTAAAAATCTATTCTCAGCAATTTTCAAGAACACAGTACTTTGTTATTAACTATAGTCACCATTTTGTGCGATAGATTTCTTGAACTTATTCCTCCTACATAACTGAAATTTTGTATCCTTTGACCAACATCTCCCCAACTCCCAAACTCGCTAGTCCCTGGTAACAACTATTCCACCTTCTGCTTCTATGGGCTCAACATTTTTAGACTCCACATATAAGCTGGATCCTGTAGTATTGGTCTTTCTGTGCCTGACTTATTACACCGAACATAATGTCCTCCAGGTTCATCTATGTTCTCACAAATAAATAGGATTTCTTTTATTTTATGGCCAAATAGCATTCCATTGTGTATGTACACCACATTTTCTTTATCCATTCATCCACAGATGGACACTTCAGTTGATTCCAAATCTTGGCTATTATGAATAATACTGCAATGAACATGGTTGTACAGATATCTAAAAGACATACTGATTTAATTTCCTTTGGATACATACACAATAGTGGGATTGCTGAATCATTTGGTAATTCTATTTTTGATTTTTTGAGGAACCTCCCTACTGCTTTCCATAATGGATATACAAATTTACATTGCCACCAACAGTATACAGGGATCCTCTTTTCTTCACATCTTCATCGACACTTGTTATCTTTTGTCTTTTTGATAATAACCATTCTAACAAGTACGAGGTGATATCTCATTGTGGTTCTAACTTGCATTTCCCCGATGATTTGTGATATTGAGCATTTTTTCATATACCTGTTGGCCAGGCATATATCTTTCTTGAGAAATGTCTTTTCAGGTCTTTTGCCCATTTTTAAAAAGCACAGTTATTTGTTTTCTTGCTATTGAGATGTTTGAGTTGCCTATGTATTTTAAATATTAACCCCTTATCAGATGTATTGTTTGAAAATATTTCCTCCGATCCCATAGGTTGTCTTTTTACTCTGCTGATTGTTTCCTATGTGGTGCAGAAAATTAGTTTGAAATAACCTCATCTGTCTAATTTTGCTTTTATTGCCAATGCTTTTGGGGTTGTATCCAGAAAATGATTTCCTAGACCAATATCATGGAGCTTTTCCCCTGTGTTTTCTCTTAGTAGTTTCACAGTTATGGGTCATAAGTTTAACTCTTTAATCCATTTTGTGTTGATTTTTGCATATAGTGTGAGATAAGGGTCTAATTTCATTCTGTTGTGCATGTATATCCCACTTACCCAATACCATTTACTGAAGAAACTAAACTTTCTTCATTGTGTATTCTTAGCACCTCTGTCAAAAATCAACAGACAATAAATGCCTGGATTTAGTTCTGGGCTCTCTATTGTGTTCCATTGGTCTATGTATGTGTCTGTTTTTTATGTCAGTACCATGCTATTTTGATTGCTACAGCTTTGTAGTACATTTTGATGTCAGATAGTGTGATACCTCCAGCTTTGTTCTTTACGCTCAAGATTGCTTTGGTTATTGGAGGTCCTTTGTGGTTACACACAAATTTTAGGATCATTTTCTCTATTTATGTGGAAAATGTCATTAGAATTTTCATAGGTAATGCACTGAATCTGTAGATCACCTTAGGTATTATGAATATTTTAATATTAATTCTTCCAATCCATGAACATGGGGATATCTTTCGATTCCTGTCATCTTTAAGTTCTTTCATCAATATTTTATAGTCTACTATAAAATTCTGTAAACCTCAGTGTACAACTCTTTCACTACCTTGGTTAAATTTATTCGTAAGTATCTTATTGGATTATTTTCTTGATTTCTTTTTCAGACACTTCATTATTAGTATATAGACCACATAACTGATTTTTCTGTTGATGTTGTACTGTAACTTTATTGAATTTATTTATTAGTTATTTGGGGTTATTTTCTTTTGAGAGTCTTGTTCTGTCATCCAGGCTGGAGTGCAGTGGCACTATCACAGCTCACTGCCGCCTGAACCTCCTAGGCTCAAGTGATCCTCCCACCTCAGCCTCCTGAGTATCTGGGACCACAGGCACATGCCACCATGCCCAGCTCGTTGTTTATTTTTTTGTAGAAATGGGGGTCTTGCCATGTTGCCCAGGTCTCAAACCACTGGAGTCAAGTGATCTTCCTACTTTGGCCTCCCAAAGTGCTGAGATTACAAGCATAAGCCATCATGCCTGGCCTGAAATTTATGCATTAGTTCTAATAATTTTTTGTTGAAGTCTTTAGGGCTTTCTATATATAAGATCATGTCATCTGCAAAGAGGGACAATTTAAATTCTGTTTTCTTCAAATTTGGATTTTTTTTCTTTTTCTTGTCTAATTGCTCTGGATAGAACTTTCAGTACTGTGTTGAAAGAAGTGGTGATAGTGGGCATCCTTGTCTTGTTTGGATCTCAGAGGAAGAGTTTTCAACTTTTCACCACTGAATAAGATGTTAGCTGAGGGTTTGTCATATGTGACCCTTATTTTGTCGAGCTATATTGTCCTCTTTACAACCAATATGTTGAGAGATTTTAGAATAAAAGGTTGTTAGACATTTTGTCAAATGCTTCTGCTGTGTCCATTGAGATAATCATATGTTTTTTGTCCTTTGTTCTATTAACATGATACGTTACATTTATAGATTTGCCTATATTGGACCATCAATTCATCCCACAGATAAATCTCACTTGATTATCATGAATGATCTTTCTAATATGCTGTTGAATTTGGTTTGCTAAAATTTCATAGAGTTTTTGCATTTATGCTCATGAGGATATTGGCCTATAATTGTCTTTTTTTGTAGTGTACTTTCTGAGTTTGGTATCAGGGTAATGCTGGTTTTATAAAATGAGTTTGAAAGTATTCCCTTCTCTTCCATTTTTTGGCAGTGTTTGAGAATAATTAGTATTAGTTCTTTAAATGCCTGGTAAAATTCAGCAGTGAAGCCATCAGGGCCTAGGTCTTTATTTAATTAGAGCTTTTTACTACTGATTCAATTTTATTGTTCATTATTGGTTTGCTCAGATTTTCTTTTTTTATGGTTCAGTTTTGGCAGGTTGTATATGTCCAGAAATTTATCCACTTCTAGGTTGTCCAATTTGTTGAGGTATACTTATTCATAGTAGTCTGTTAAGATCCTTTGTATTTCTGTAATATTGGTTGTAATGTTGCCTCTTTCATTTCTGATTTTGAGACTTTTTTCTTAAAGATTTGTCTATTTTGTTTATATGTTATATTTTTATATATATTTATATATTTTTTAAAACCTGACTTTTATGGATTTTTTTTATTGTTTTTCTAGTCTGTATTTTATTTGTTTCTGCTCTGATCTTTATTATTTCTTTCCTTCTTTAACTTTGAGCTTAGTTTGTTCTTGTTATTCTAGTTCCTTGGGGTGTAATCTTTGGTTGTTTATTTGATATCATTCTTCCTTGCTGATGTAGGCCATTATTGCTATAAACTTAGAATTGCTTTTGCTGTATCCCATGTGTCTTGATATGGCATGGGTCAATTTTTGTTTGTCTAAAGACATTTTAAAATTTCCCTTTAAATTTCTTCTTTGACCCACTGGTTGTTCAGGAGCATGTTGTTTCATTTCCATGTATTTCTGAATTTTCTTTTTCTTTTTTTTTTTTTTTTTGAGACAGTCTCACTCTGTCACCAGGCTGCAGTGCAGTGGCACGAGCTTGGCTCACTGCAATCTCTACCTCCTGGGCTCAAGCAATTCCCCTACCTCAGCCTCCCGAGTAGCTGGGACAGCAGGCGTGCACCATGCCCAGCTAATTTTTGTATTTTAGAAGAGATGGGGTTTCATCATGTTGTCCAGAATGGTCTCGATCTCCTGATCTTGTGATCTGCCCACCTTGGCCTCCCAAAGTGCTGGGATTACAGGCGTGAGCCACCACACCCAGCCAAATTTTCTGAAAATTCCTTCAGTTACTGATTTCTAGAATCATACCATTGTGGTCAGAAAGTATAACTGATACGATTTCAATCTCCTTAAATTTATTAAGACTTGTTTTGTGGCCTAACATATCATCTATCCTGGAGAATGTTCTCTGTGTGTTTTTGAAAAAGGTGTCTTCTGCTGCTGTTGGATGCAATGTTCAGTTTATGTCTGGTAGGTCCATTTGGTCTAACATATAGTTTAAGTCTAATTTTTCCTTACTGATTTTCTGTCTGGATGAGCTGTCTATTGCTGAAAATAGGATATAGAATTTCCCTCCTATTAAGTCCCCCCCTCCCTTCAGATCTGTTAGTATTTGCCTTATATATTCAGATATTCCATCATTTGGTGCACACATATTTACAACTGTTACATTCTCTTGGTTAACTGACCCCTTTATCCTTCTTTTTTTTTTTTGAGACGGAGTCTTGCTCTGTGGCCCAGGCTGGAGTGCAGTGGTGCAATCTCAGCTCACTGCAACCTCCACCTCCTGGGTTCAAGTGATTCTCTTGACTCAGCCTCCTGAGTAGCTGGGATTACAGGGGCGTGCCACCATGCCCAACTAATTTTTTTGTATTTTTTTAGTAGAGATGGGGTTTCACCATGTTGGTCAGGCTGGTCTTGAACTCCTGACCTCATGATCCACCCACCTCGGCCTCTCAAAGTGCTGGGATTACAGGTGTGAGCCACTGCGCCCAGCCCCCTTTAGCATTACATACTGACTTTGTCCCTTGTGGCAGTTCTGGACTTAAAATCTATTTTATCTGGTATAAGTACAGCTACTTCTGCTTTTTATTGGTTTCCTTTGCATAGAGTATCTTTTTTCCATCCCTTTGCTTTCAGTCTATGTGTGTCCTTATAAGTGAAGCGAGCTCCCTGTGTGTAGCACAGAGCTGGGTCTGGTTTTTATAATCCATTAAGTCACACTATGTCTTCTGATTGAATAGTTTAATTTATTTACATTTAAGGTAATTGTTGCCAGGTAAGACTGACTACAGTCATTTAGTTCATTCTTTTCTGGCTTTGTTTCCTGACTACAGCCATTTAGTTCATTCTTTCTAGCTTTGTTTTCCTTTGTTCCTTCCTTCTCTTTCCGTCTTCCTTTGTGATTAGGCAATTTTCTATAGTGGCATGGTTTGATTCCTTACTTTGTATCTTCTGTATATCTAGTACAGGTTTTTGCTTTGTGGTTACCAGGAGGCTGACATAAAATATCTTATAGTTGCAGCAAGTTTTTTTAACTTGAATACAACTTAACCGTGATCACACACAAAAATTCAACATTTTTACCCACCCACACTTTATGTTTTTGATGCTTTTTATATTGTGTAACCCTTAATGAATTATTGCAGCTTTAACTATTTTTAATAGTTTGTTTTAACCACTGTAATAAATGTTACTTAAACACTACCACCACAGTTTTAAAATTTGACTTACTTTTGTACTTACTTTTGACTTAAACTTTTTGTACTTACTTTTACTAGTGAGTTTCAAACTTTCTTATGTTTCTGTGTTACTAATTAACATCCTTTTCTTTCAGCCCAAAGAACTTCCTTTAGCATTTCTTGTAAGACACTTCTGAGAGTAATGAACTCTTGACTTTGTGTGTGTGTGTCTCTGCAAAAGTCCTTTTCTCTTTTCCTTCTGTAGAAGAGCTTTGCTGTGTATTCTTGGTTGACAGTTTTTGTTATGTTTTGTTTTTTTCCTTTCAGCACTTGAATATATCATCCCGCTCTTCCCTGGCCTGTAAGGTTTCTGCTGTGATGTCTGCTTCTAGTATTAATGGAATTCCCTTATATGTGACATGCTTCTTTTGTCTTGATGCTCTTTTGCTGCAGAATACTCTTTTTGTCCTTGAATTTTCAAAGTTTGATAATAATATGTCTTGGTGTAGTCTTGCTTGGATTGAATCTGATTAGAGACCTTTGACCTTCCTGTGTATGAAAATGTAAATTTTCCCCCAGATTGATAAAACTTTTTCTGCCTGCCTTCCTGCCTGCCTTTTTTCCTTCCTTCCTGTCTTCCTTTCTTCTTTGCTCCCTCCCTCCTTCCTTGTTTCTGCTACTGTTTCCTCTCTCTCTCTATCTCTTTCTTTACAATAAAAACTTGATCTATTAGCCAGGCTGGAGTGCAATAGCATGATCATGGCTCACTGCAACCTCAAACTCCTGGGCTCAAGCGACTCTCCCACCTCGGCCTCCCAAAGCACTGACATTATAGGTATGAGCCATGACACCCAGCCTATTGTTTCTTTACTAAACTTTCTAGACCTTTGTCCCTCTATTCTCCTTTTTCAGTGTCCATACTTTTAAGTTTTGTTCTTTTGATGCTTTCCTGTAAGTTCCATAAGCATTCTTCATTACTTTATATTCTTTTTTCTCCAATTGTATAATTTCACTAAACTGTCTTTGAGTTCAGAGCCTTTCTTCTGCTTCATTGATTCTGCTGTTGACATTCTCTATTGCAATTTTCATTTAATTCATGCATTTCTCAGCTCCAGAATTTGTTAGTTTTTTGTATAATTTCAATCTTTAATTTTCTCATTTTATTCATTTAATGACTTACTAATTTTTGAATTTTTCCTTTTTTAGATAAACAGAAATTTATTTGTAACAGTTCTGGAGACTGAGATGCTCAAGATCAAGGTGGTGGCATCTGTGAAGGCCTTCTTGCTGTGTCATAACAAGGCAGAAGGCATCACATGGGTGAGAGAGAGACAAAAGTAGGGTCCTTTTATAAGAAACCCACTCCCTCATAACATAAATTTTGAGGGACACATTCAAACCAGAGCAGTCCCAGTTCCGGATCTCTAGTTTTTTCCAACATTTATTTTAGATTCAGGAGGTACATATGCAGGTTTGTTACCTTGGTATATTGTGTAATGCTGAGGTTGGGGTATGAATGATCCCTTCACCCAGGTACTAACTAAACAGTTAGTTTTTCAACCACTGTCCCACTCCCTCCTTTTCCCTTCCAGTAGTCTCTAGTGTCTATTGTTGCCATCCTTATATCCATGAGTTATCAATGTTTGGCTTCTACTTACAAGTGCAAACATGCAGTATTTGATTTTCTGTTCCTGTGTTAATTCACTTGGGATAATGGCCCCCAACTGCATCATGGTGCTACAAAGGACATGATTTCATTATTTTTTATGGCTGCATAGTATTCCATGGTGTATATATATACACCATATTTTCTTTATTCAATCCACTACTGATAAGCACCAAGGTTGATTCCATGTCTTTGCTATTGTGAATACTGCCATGATGAACACACAAGTGTATGTGTCTTTTTGGTAGAATGATTAGATTTCTTTTGGATATCTACCCAGTAATGGGATTGCTAGGTTGAATGGTAGTTCTCTTTTAAGTTCTTTGAGAAATCTCCAAATTTTTTTCCACAGTTGCTGAACTAATTTACATTCCCACCAACAGTATGTAAGTGTTCCCTTTTCTCCACAGCCTCACCAGCATTTGTTGTTTTTTGACTTTTTAGTAATAGCCATTCTGACTGGTATGAGATGGTATCTTATTGTGGGTTTAATTTGCACTGATCTGATGATAAGTGATGTGGAACACTTTCTCATATGTTTATTGGCCATGTTTACGCCTTCTTTTGAGAAATGTTTGTTCATATATTTTGTACATTTTTAAGTGGGGTTGTTTGCTTTTTGCTTGCCTAATTGCTTAAGTTCCTCATAAATTTTGAATATTAAACCTTTGTTGGATGCATAGTTTGCAAATATTTTCTCCCTTTCTGTACGTTGTCTGTTTACTTTGTTGATAGTTTCTTTTGCTGTGCAGAAGCTCTTTAGTCTAGCCGGATCCCACTTGTCAATTTTTGTTTTTGCTGCAATTGCTTTTAGGACTTATAAATCCTTTCCCAAGGCCAATGTCCAGAACGGTGTTCCATAGGTTTTCTTCTAGGATTCTTACAGTTTGAGGTCTTACATTTAAATATTTGATCCACCTTGAGTTCAGTTTCATATATGGTAAAATGTAGGGTTCTAGCTTCATTCTTCTGCATATGGCTCACCAGTGATCTTAACACTATTTATTGAATAGATAGTCCTTTCCCCATTGCTTATGTTTGTTGACTTTGTCAAAGATTAGATGGCTGTAGGTATGCAGCTTTATTCCTGGGTTCTCTATTCTGTTCCATTGTTCTATGTGTCTGTTTTAATACCAGTACCAGACTGTTGAGGTTACTGTAACCTTTTAGTTTGAAGTTGGGTAATGTGATACCTCTGGCTTTGTTCTTTTTGCTTTGGATTGCTTTGGCTATTTTGAATTATTTTTCTATTTTCTTTTAAGTTCACTTAGCTCTTTCGGTGGTATTTTCAGATGTCAACAGTGGTTCAAATAGATGATTCTGCAGACGAATGTCCTATTTCACCATCTTGCTGGCATCTGTACACTTGCCTTGTTTATTCTTGAATGAACATTCTTCAAAGTAAAATTTTGAATTACATCATTTTATTCTGGGTTAAATTAGAGAGGATTAACATCTTTACATTACTGAGTCTTCATATCCATAAATGAGAATTTACACAGATCTCCTTATATACCTCATAGTAAAGTTTTAACCTTTCTTTTCCCATGTAGCTTGTACATTTCTTACCCCTCTCCTGCCTGCCAGTGGTATTTTATGCCTTCTAAATCTATTATAAACAGTATTTGCTTCTTTTCATTTTAACTGATAACTTATACAAAGGGAGGTATTTCTGATTATTAAATTAATTTCCAAAAAAAAGTATTAAAAAATGTGAGCTGTTGAATCTTTTTTTTTTTTTTTTTTTTTGAGACAGAGTTTCACTCTTGTTACCCAGGCTAGAGAGCAGTGGCATGATCTCGGCTCACCACAACCTCTGCCTCCCGGGTTCAAGTGATTCTCCTGACTCAGCCTTCCGAGTAGCTGGGATTACAGGCGCCTGCCACCACATCTGGCTAATTTTTTTGTATTTTTAGTGGAGATGGGGTTTCAGCATGTTGGCCAGGCTGGTCTCAAACTCCTGACATCAGGTGATCAACCTCCCAAAGTGCTGGGATTACAGGCATGAGCCACCACGCTGGCCCAGGTGATTTTCTTATGTGTGTTTTCAAGGATCAAATAATAATAATTTTTACTTGGTTCCTATTTTTTATGCCTCTTGTTTAGTCTCTTCTCTAATTGAAATACTCTTTGTATCATAGGAAAATAAGGATAGACCCTAGTGAGAAGGGCCTAAAATTCTTTTTCAGGGTTACAGGAATGAAGGAATAAATAAATCTTTATTGCCACAAAATAAAGGAAACTCCAAACTCAGCCTCTCTGAGACCAAATTATAAAAAAAAGTCATACATAGAATTTGAGAATATCATAGCACCATTAAGAGGGAAAGAGGAAAGGAGATTATGTGGTTTTGCATTGATAATATACTGTGATGTATAAGTATTAAAACATTTTTGTATCTCTGAATAGAAACTTTAGTCAGGCCTCTCTCCTTGAACTCCTAAGATGGAGCCAAACAAAATTTTCTATTTGCTTTCCCTACTATTTTTATTTTTCCTTCTAGAAACTCATCAATTTGAATATAGTCAATATGAGTCATTTTATAAGCATCCTTATATATAAATTTAAATTTTATAGTGTTTGATACATATTCATGTTCTATTACATGTATCCATATAGATACAATCTTGTTTATGAAAATTGACGTAGTATGCTATAAGTGAACAAAACTATATGAAAGAATAACAGACAATACTGCTTGATAGAAAAAGTTTTAAATAATAGAAAAGTGCTGCAACAGAGATAAGAAGAAAAAATATAACAACAAAGGTCTTATGGGAGCTTATTATCTGCCAAGCGCAGAGTTAAGCTCATTAAGTGGATAATCTTATTTTTCCTCCCACAATTATGCTCATTTTATAAATGAGAAAGCTAGAACTTTGAGGAGTTAAATCACCCAACTTTATACATAGTTTATAACTGATTCTTGTTCTCAAAGGCAACTCTGTGTGACTGTGAAGCCCCAGCACAGGCTCCCATAAAAAAGGCATTTCCATTTACTGTAATATTTAAAAATCCACAAAAACTGATTTTTCAAAAGCCTACAGTTGAAAGAAAGTTGCTCAAATATTACCTAAAATAGAATAATCAGTTTAAAAAATTGATCGCAATGAAAGAGGAAAAAAAAGCAGCTCACAGGAATTTTCTACAGAGGCACACAAAGATACACTCTCTAAACAAGAAAACCATTATCTAGTGAATGTTCATCAGAAACTAGAATATTCACTTTTGTTTAAGTAAAACTTTCACTAATTATATAGAGGATTATACTTCCTATTGAGATAATTTATCACTATAGCCAAAGTTTCAATGTAGAAAAACACCCCTGCTCATCAGTGTCTGGGATAGAAGTAAAACAGAGGATACTGCTTGAAACAAAACTGCTTAGACCAGCACACTTCTCTGATTTGTCAATGTCACTGATTTAAAAATGAAAGTTAATACCTTTTAAGATATCTGTACAATTCTAGGGCAGCTGTTTCAGAAGGTCAAATAACTCACAGCCAATGGGGAACTAGAGAGATATCTGAGGATTTGGCTGGTAAACCAGACTTTCACTGACAGGGTCCCCTTTGGGGCTGTGGTAGAGGTTCTCTTAAAAGACAGAGCAGCTTAAAGAAATCACTGAGGATTTTCACTATTACAACAACAAAATGATACTGAAGTGCTATATTGATTTTAAATTTGACAAAACAACAGAATCCCTGACAAAACAGAACCATTACTGTGGAATAAATCAGTTAGATTCTGGATCAGCCCCATTATTCTTCATATCATCACAAGTGCTTTCTAAGATGTTGTCACCAGATTAGGGCACAAAGTGGGGAAGAGAGCTGGAAGGGCTTCTCCTTAAAGAGTATGGTTATTGTACTTCACTTCCATGCTTAATCATTTGATAACACTCACCCACAGTTGCTATTTTGGATACTCTATAAAATTCCCAGGCAGTTACCCATTTAATCTAACATAAATATGTGTTAAAATCTTTTCTGCTATTTCTCAAGGTCACGTGTTTGCCCATGGAACTTAGAGTACTGGCATCTCACTCAGTCACCGCAACAATGGCTTAAATCCTTCTTGACAGGTGGTACCTCTGTGTTCCTAGTGGCATCATACCACAGAAGGCTTCTCCCTCACACTAATGGGACTGAATCAATAACATCAGACTAAAAACATTAACCTTAGGAGTCTTATTATTCTGAAAAATATAATAAAACCTTCAGAATAAAGGTTTTATTATTAAAACTCAGACCCAATTAAAATTTTACAAATGAGAAAGCTAGAACTTTGATAAGTTAGATTACCCAACTTTACATAGTTTATAACTGATTCTTGTTCTCAAAGGCAACTCTGTGTGACTGTGAAGCCCCAGCACAGGCTCCCATAAAAAGGGCATTTCCATTTACTACAATATTTAAGAATCCACAAAAAAATGGTTTTTTTCAAAAGCCTACAGTTAAAAGCAAGTTGCTCAAATATTACCAAATATTACCAATATTACCAATAATCAGACCCAATTAAAATCAGAGAGAAAAAAAGTAACACAAGGCTGTGTAACTCATGCACTACTAATATAGCACATTGACTATTTAACTCATAGGATGCCTTTTAAAATAATTTTTATTGTGGTAAAATATATATCCCATAAAATCTACCATTTTAACCATTTTAAGTGTACAGTTCAGTGGCATTAAATATATTCACATTGTTGTTCAACCACCACCTGCATCCAGCCCCTGAACTCATTTCATCCTACAGCTGAAACTCAAATCTTCTGAATAATTTGTGAAGTTGGCAACACACCATGCTGACCCTTAATTTGTGAAGAAGGCCCACAAGTATTAGAAAGATCCATTTGTAGAGGTGTCACTTGATGTGACATTCCTTGCTAGCACAGATCCATCTCAAACAAACTTCTAAAGCTTGGGCTACTCTGCTCAACTCTAAATCCACATGAAGAAATGTCTCCTATTCAACTGGCACCACATCCTAGCAGGATTTTGTGTTCTTCTTTTTTCTCTACACTTTGCGTTTCAGATGGATTTTATATCTATACATCTTTATCTATATTATGTGTATACATATATACATATATTTTGCTTTGCAGGAGGATCATTTATGTGTGTGTATGTGTATGTGTGTGTGTATATAAATATATATATATAAAAAATTAGAATTAAGTGAGAATGTTTCATAAGGACAAATACACCACTAAGTCTCTCACTCCTTTGCTATTGTAGAAATGGAGTTAGGAAACAAGGTGAAAAAGAGCCCTTTCACAGCCAGAGACTGTTTCTTTACCTTCTTGGAAACTGTAACCCTTACAGGAATTGTGCAAGAATTAAATGTGGGAGTGCTGGAAACCCAGAGCACACAGCCTTATGCACAAAGAGCTCTTCATAAATGGTAGATGGCATTAGCTTCAAGTTTAGAAACAATGTTTTCTTTTTGCTTCCTAGCCAGGAAAAGCCCTTTTGCTTCAAGCGACTAAAGAATGTTCTCTAACTTCCTGAGTGTTGTTGTGTGTGTACTTGCCTCTGCTAATGTTTAGTTTGCCTTACAAGGACAATCTGCCTGACTTCGTGTTGGATAAAGGGAAGCTGTACACGAAGATGGAGAGATACAGAAGGAAACAAGCCATGATTTCAGTAACCCAGTGGCCATGACAGCCAGAGGCTGAATGAAGGCCGACCGAAACTAGATATCCGCTGACCACCTCTGGACCCACAGGTGCAGCTGTTTGGGCTGACACCACACCTGGCAGCAGGGCTGACGTGTCCTGCAGACCTGCTCTTCCTCTGACTCACTGTGTCGCTGCCCATCACTGGCTCACGGCTTGGTAGCTACCCAGCCACACCCTCAGCCTCTCTTTTCCCTACTGTCAACCAACTGTGTGTCTGGCATGTAACACACACTCAGACTGAGAATGTTTCTGTCTCTGTGCTAACTGCAGTGTCTGCCATCCTTTCCTGCTCTCTCATAGCAGGTACTGAGTCAGTCCAGACAGCTGCTGCCTCTGGGCTCAGTGCTGATCGGCAGATCTCCAACCTCTGACCTTCCTTCTGCCCCCTCCGTTAGTTCCACTCACATTTGCTCCAGTCAGGCCCAGAAAATAAAGATAACAATTAGGAACAAATACACACAGGCCATGGGAGATCTACTAATGCACTTTGTCCACTGCCCCAAAAACGTCCCATGACAGCTAGTGGACACTTTTTTAGATTTCCCAGTTAGAACGGTTCTACATTTTGGATCTCAAAAATTCTCAACACTGATAAAGACCAGTGAAACAAGAATTCAGTTATAGCAAATTGTATGCTCTTTGTCAGAAAGTTTTAAAAAACAAAGTCCAATAATATTATTCAGAGAACATTTTCTTTCTTTGCATAAAATCTTCCTAGTGAGAAGAGACAGACAGGAAAAAAACAAAATTCCATACATGGGAACAAGAAATAATGACTTCCATAAGGAAACACAAAACCAGGGAAGACACAGGCTGGAGGCGGGTGGGGTGGGGAGGGCAGTGGGAGCTGTGTACGTGCGTGTCTGCGTGTGTGTGTTCTATGCATATTAGGGGTTAGGTTATCTAGAAGAATTCTATCAGGAAGAGATAATTTACCCAAGAAATGAATTGAGGAAGCTATCTATGCTATAGGGGAAAATTTCAGAAATACTGAATAGCTAGTACAAAGGATGGATCTTGCTTGACATTTTTAAAGAGCAGCTAGAAGAACATAGCACAAAATATTTGAAGCCACAGATAAGCAGAGAATACGGTCGAAGTTGCTTATTTCTTTTTATCTAAATAAGGTCAGTTCTTTATTGAAAATGACTACATTCATATGGTGCATAAAAGATGTGGCAATTTACAGCAAGAATTAAAGAAAATAAAATTATATAGATTTAAATTGGAAGCCAGTTGCAAAGGCAGAAGCAAGATGGGATGTGAAGCTGTGGCAATGGTCCAGGTAAGAGATGGTGGGCAACTGGGCTGTCATGGTAATAACAGAGGTGAGGGAAAGCTGTCAGACTCCACATATACTCTGAAGCTGTGACTGACATGATCTGTCTAACGACTGAGTTGACAGGATATGCCTATGGATTGATCGTGGAGTGTGAAGGAATGGAAGTCATTGGTAACTCCACGCATATTGGCTCAAGCCAACAATTGGTAAATGCTGTGATATTTACTGAGAGGTGGAAACCCAGGGGTAATAGGTTTGGTGATGGGAAGGATATGGAGATAATAAACTTAGTTTTGGATGTGACTATTTGACATCCGAAAGGAAATGGAGTCTGGTGCTCAGAGGGGAACTTGAAACATATGTCAGGGATGGATAATAACCTGAATATATCTAATCCCAACCAGAAGAAAATTTCACAATGAATTAAAAAGTTCTATATTTCCTAGCAGATTTAATTCTTTATTCTTTCAGAAATAAGTGAAAAATAGACATGAGGGAAAATGGCTTGTCAGTGATTGCTAATCTGGGACTATGGTTAATAGAATGTTATGGTATAATCTCTCAGCATGATTCCAGGACATGGTTAGGTGGATTTCTAAATATCTTTTCTCTCTTTCTGATTCAGAACATTTGTTCTTATTAGGCCAGGTGGTTTTTTAAGGCCATTCCTATTACTACTACTACTATATATATATATACATACACACACACACATATGGTTCTCCCAGAAAATTATCTTTTATCTTCCCTCTTCTGTTGTTTATTCTTTTGACCTTGTTTGAGTAATGGCACCTTTTAAAATGATGTAGCAGATGAGGAGATTATTCACCTCAAGTGAGTCTGTGTCCTGAAACACATTTTGTTAACTGAAAGTATAATACATAATGAAGCTTGTTCTGTTACTCAGAAAATATTCATGTATTCCTGTTGTAAGTAACAGGGATTCTCTCTTTTGAACAGAGCTTTTACTACTCTGAAGATTCCATAAATCTGGGAGTTACATCTAGTTTTCTTGGGTATTTCTCAACACAAACTCAGTCTAGCCCTTGAAGCGTCAATGTGAAGCATGTAATTAGTAAGAATGTGGATTGATATATTAATCCATTCAGATAATCAAATGTCAGTGATTGATATGACAGCTATACAATCTCTTATCTAAAGCCTTGGTATCAGATTTGCTTTAGATTCAGATTCATTTCATATATTAGAAAGGTCATACTGTGTATACACCAAATATGAGTGACTAGGTGGTAATCACATATGTTACTATTTTTGCAATAAAACATACGAATATTCACATTAAGCAGAGTAATTAAAAAATGCAAATAGCCCCAAAGTCAGTACATTCAGATTTTGCTGCTAAATAAATTTGGGTCTGCTTAGGGTTCACCATTTTAATAATTTTGTTTTTAGAATTAAAAATTGCAGATAAGCAACTGTGGATCTTTAATAATAGAAAACATTAGCATAGGTAATGGGTAAAACCAGACCAAAAAAAACAAAGCCATAAAACGACAGAGGGAGAGCATACAAGAAATATATAAGACTGGAGAATGCATTTTTAATGTGTCCTTAACATAAAAGTAGAGGCAGCAGGATCCCTAGGAGAGAGCTGGAAATGCATTCTGTTCTCCTGGTACAGGAAGGTTAATACGATGACCCTGAGGGCAGGGGATGTAGCTGTGGTCAGGAAAAGATAATAATAATAAAGATAATAATGTGCTGGGAAAGATAGTAAGCCTATAAAAACATAATTTTCATTAATCAAGAGTGTTAATATTTTAGGTATCAAAAATAAATCTTAAGTTATTTTAATATCATCCATTCATATCTAAAATTAATGCCTTGGTAAAGGGCAGAAACTCTAATAAGAGATGTAATTTATTGTTAAGGCAGCAATGATAAGACTGGAGGACAGCCAATATCAGCCCATCTTTTTAAGAAAATAATAAATAGGATACAGTCAGTGAACTTTATTTCTACAGAAGTAGCTTTGATAGGAAAAATACTAGACACAAGGGACATGCCTAGTGAAGAATATGATAACTATGACTCAGCTCACATTTCCCAAGAGTATATTACTAACCTCTACCATAATTATTTGCTTATTTACTAAAAGAATGGATTAATGAATAAACAAATGGAGAATATGTCCCTGAGATGTTGATGTAGCAGTTCAAGAAATGCGAATCAAGATGGTTATCAGTGGCAGGGAAGGGGCGTGGGGGGCTGGGGAGGAGGTGGGGATAGTTATGGGCACAAAAAAATAGTAAGAATGAATAAGACCTAGTATTTGATAGCACAACAAGGTGACTATAGTCAATAATAATTTAATTGTACACTTTAAAATAACTAAAAGTGTATAATTGGATTGTCTGTAACACAAAGGATAAATACTTGGGATGGATATCCCATTTTATATGATGTGATTATTATGCACTGCATGCCTGTATCAAAGTATCTCATGAATCCCATAAATGTGTACACCTGCTATGCACCCACAAAAAGTAAAAGTTTTTTTTAAAAAAAGAAACTCAAATATCTACATAGGTATTTTATAATCCAAACTTGACAGCCTCTCTCTTTGCAATTTTACAACTTTCAGCAAATTCCCCATATTCTCTCCATCTCAGTCTGAACAGCCATTTCACATCTTACAGCTCACTGTTTTTTGTGTATCTCATCCATTATCCATGTTTTTGTTTGCATTACTTTTGCTTTCTGAAATATCCTCCTGAATTATTTTCCAACAACTCATGAGGTAACGCTTTCTCCAAGGCCTGTCATTCTCAAGTGTCTTCGGGTCTGTGTCTTATAACTGAACACTCACAAGAACCATCTCTGGTTTGTTTTGTGGGTTCTCTCTTCAGTAGCATTAACATTTTTTTCACCATGCAAATTCTGTATAGTTGGTCACAGAGTAGGAAATGAAGCTATTAAATGGTTATAATTTGCCAGTCACAGTGATGGAGGATGAAGGAGATGCAAAGATAAAGCCCTATCCCCAAAAACCTTTTAGCTCAAAACGATGGAAGGCTGAGTCCTGAACCCTCATAGCACTACATTTCATTGCTTTAGTCCAAAACAAGTCCAAGAGATGTGCAGAGCCAGGAAGGATCATTTTCAGTGTGGTTGTTCAAAAAAGGCATCCTGGGAGAGGATGAATTTCCCTCATTCATTCAGGAAACATTTCCTGATGTCCTAGTCCTGTTAGGCACAGTTAGGCTTTAGAGGCTGAGTTAGTTTTCCAGAACTGCTGTAACAAAGTGCCACAAACTAGGTAGCTAAAGTGATGGAGGCCATACGTCCAAGATCAAGGTGTCTGCCAGCCGTGCTGCCTCCGGAGGCTCTAGGGAGGGATCTGTTCTATGCCCATCTCCTAGCTGCTGGTGCCTCCGGTGTTCTGTGGCTTGTCCATGCATTATTCCAATCCTCCCTCCTCACAGGGCTGCTTCCCTATGTGTCCTTGCACTGTGTTCCCTGTGTGTACATCTGTCTCTGGGTCCAAAGGTCCTTCTTGATGAGGACACCAGTCATATTAGATTAGGGTCAACCCTCCTGACTACATTTTAACTTGATTACCTCTGTAAAAAACTTATATCCAATTAAGGTCACATTCTGAGGTACTGGGAGTTAGGATTCCAACATATGTCTTTGGGAAACCACAAGTCAATCCAGGATAGAGATGCAGGGATGAAAGGCAGGCACAGTGACTTTGAAAGGAAGCTCACACTGTGAGGGGGCACCAGGAAAGTAAATCACTTGTTCCAGTGAAGCTCAACACGCTCCTACACAAGGTAAGATCATGAGAGTTGACATCTGTCATTTTAAGTGTTCTGGATTAGTAAGAACCTTAACCTTTACGCTCTTTCCCCACAGGCTAGTAACCTTTCAGAGTAAGCAAAATTGGCAAATGGCATTGCCTTGGCTATGGTTTCCCTCTGAACTGCTTAACTTGGTAACAAAAATGCTGACGGTACCTCTGTCATTGACGTATTTTTTTTTAGGAGGAAGAAAGAGCCAAATTACAAATACGATGCAGACTCTATATGAGTCTTCTCTTACAGCATCTCTTTTATAGGGAAACTGTCCACAACATTTTAAACATTATTAATCAATGCAGAGCAAGATTTTAAACAGATACAGGTTACTTTCAAACACTATGTAATAAATACTTATTATTATTATTATTATTATTATTATTATTATTATTATTATTATTATTATTGAGACAGAGTTTCTCTCTTTTTTGCCCAGGCTGGAGTGCAATGGTGCGATCTCTGTTCACTGCAATCTCTGCCTCCCGGGTTCAAGTGATTCTCCTACCTCAGCCTCCCAAGTAGCTGCAAAAGTCAAACAAAAAGTGATTACCCCGGCAAAGAGGCACTGACATATAATCAGAAACAGAAATAATGTCACTGTTATGAGGATATTTACAGATTCAGAGAATGTCACAGAGATCTGTAGTCTATGAAAAACTAAATCTGGCCAGGCGCGGTGGCTCACTCCTGTAATCCCAGCACTTTGGGAGGTCAAGATGGGTGGATGACCTGAGGTGAGGAGTTCGAGACCAGCCTGGCCAAAATGGCGAAACCCTGTCTCTACTAAAAATACAAAAAAAAAAAAAAATTAGCCAAGTGTGGTGGCACATGCCTGTAGTCCCAGCTACTAAGGAGGCTGATGCAGAAGAATTGCTTGAACCTGGGTGGCAGAGGCTGCAGTGAGCCAAGATTGTGCTACTGCACTCTAGTCTGGGTGATAACAGCGAAACTCTGTCTCTAAAAAAAAAAAAAAAAAAAAAACAAGAAAAACTAAATCTGGCTGCTTAATAAAGGACACACAATTCTTCAAGTTCAAAGTCTGTGTTCCTGTACTTGTCATACACACAGAAACTGCTCATTTATTACATTTTGAAATTTCAGTGTCTTTCAAAAATATCAGATCAAATCAGAGAAAATAAATGAATTCAATCTACCACTCTAAAATACTGCAGAGGCAATGTTAAATTACTTTATTAAGCAAACCAAGAAAAAATAAATTATATATGATTTGTATTATTTTTTAACTTCCACACTATTTAATGGTATAAGATTCTCTTTCAATGCTTTCAATGAAATAGGTATCTTACTTTCACTTAGAACATTTTTTTCAAAGTAATTCTTAAAATTCTGTTTTTCTAATAGGTTTGCAGCAATAGGTAGCAATTATTATTATTAGAAACATACCCAGATGCTTTCTTCTCGGCGATACTGCTTCCAGTTTCTCCCACCATCACTGAACATCAGGAGGTAGCTGGTCACCCAGTCAGAGCTCCCATATCCTCCTTGGGTGGCGACAGCAGTGACCTCCATTCTCTCTCCAAGGTCAATTTGCAGCCATTGGTATTTATTTGACACAAGTGGGGTCCAGCCACCAGCTCCTTTTTTGAAATAGAAAAAGTATAAAAATGGTAGAGGAGGAAGTTATTTAACATAGCTGTTACTAGATTAGAAAACTATAAAATTATGAATATATATTAAGAAAATCATCGATTTACAATAGAAAAAATAGAATAATTACATGTGACTGGATGAACCCTAAATTGTGTTCACATTTAGCTAGATGACCCCTGATATTCTAGAAGGCAGGTGTCCCACTGACTGCAGAAAATGTTTGTTTAATGCAGGTGGCCACTAGAGCATTCCTGTCAACTTTTGGAACTAGTGTTATTTCATAGCCCTTGTGCAAGATTTGCCCTTTGCCAACATAAGAGACTAAATTCCAGTAGTAGGAAGTACAGCATTAAGCACTGATAAAACAAAGACGGTTAATATATTGACCTTGCACTCAAAGTGCTTACAGTCTCATAGGAGAAATGGATGTAAAAGAAGAGTTAAAACATAGAGTGCTTTGTGAGGCAATCCCACTTACATGTGGAATTCTAAAAAGTTGATTTCACAAAAGTACAGAGGAGAGTGATGGTTAAGAGGAACTGGGGTGTGGAGGAGATATTGGTAAAAAAATACAAAAAGGTATGGAGTAGCAAATGGTCAAGGTGAGTCCTAAGCAGGTTCTGGTGCACTCTGCTCTCTCTGGCAGTACTGCAGGGAAACTGGGGCAAGCCTCACACAGCGCTCATCCACCTTGGACAAGGAAAAGGAGACTGTTGGGTATTGAAGAAGATGCATGCAGAGCAGAAAATTTGCTCTTTTTGCTCTGACCAATGCCACATCTGAAACAAAAACATAGGCATGTCCGCTGATGTTTTATTGATGTTTGTTATTTTTCTAGTCTAATAGAATTAGGGGACACTCGAAAACCACAGCTTCTTTAATAATCAATGTCTAGAAAAAGAGAGTGCTCTATAAACTATTCCCAAGCTGAGGAGTCAGAACACTTTTATTATTCCCTGGTGCTGCCACTTACCTGAAGGCTCTGACAGAAATTCTGAAGTTCTAGACAGTTCATTATTATTCATTGACTTATACTGTGTATTTTATTATTAGGAGTTTATCATTATGTCCTCATTTGTAAAGTCTTTAGTACTTCACTACATGTCCAAAAAAGTTTGATATTATTAGAATATAGCTAGGTGTAAAAACGAATAAGTGAGGACATTATACTTTAATATAAGTTATTATGGGGAAGTGTTGAGAAATATAAATATTAGGCACCTATTTGAATTGATGACCACACTTAACTACTGTTTCCTTATGATTCCCAAGTTTACAGATTCTTAGAAGTCAGATTCTAAGATATTTTTGTAGTGAATCTTTGTTCAAAAATATTTTTTCCTCTGAATGTATGATAAGCACCTCTAAAGTTTATATTATATATATAGTATGTACACAGACATATATATAGATATAATTTTTGTTTGTTTTGCTTTTTATTGTTCTATGTTCTGAATTGAAGAGTCAGGAATTTGATCTAGTAGACAAGATGGAAAATTACTGATAACCAACACTGTGCATCTGATTGACACTAAAATACTCCATATATTTTCTTAATCCAGACAGCTAGGAGGTGGACACAGCTCTTGTTCAAAGTTAAATGTTCTGCTATAGACCAGGGGCATCCTCCACTCATGCAACATGGTTTCCTAGATCGGGCAAGATTTATTCTTGGATGATTTACAGCAATATTTATGTGAGCCCCTGCCAGAGACAGTGCCCAGATTTCTTTAGCCCTCAGTAGGAACTACTTCCACAGTTTCTTCTCTCTGCTCATTCCTCCTTCCAACTTAACTTTTCAGGATGTAACAGAATTCCACGTACCCACTTCCATAATCATTCAATTTAACAATGAACACTTATCGAGCATTTGAGAACTCTAGGTCAGGCAAAGAGTTCCCTTTAAGTAAATTTTGCATTTAATTCCTAACATACCTTTAAAAGACAAGGCCTCATTACTACCCTCCATATGGATGGTGGGCAGCTCACCTATGTTTACGCATCTAGCAAGGGGCCCACAAGCTTTGGATCCAGAACCTGTGCAATTAAATATTTTTATTATATTATTTTGATGATAATCATGGGATGTGGTGTTTCTCAAATAAATGTAACAAAGATGTAAAGACATTTGGGAGTGAGCAGGTCTGGCTACCTAAGGCAGCAGCCCCCATGCAGCAGGGCAACCTCTCCTACTCCTGGTCAGGCAAGGTCTGGGTTTTGGAAAGCTGAGGGTGCAGTGCCAATGGGGTTTTCTCTACTGGCCCTTCCTGTTGACTCCACCAGATCTACTCTTCTCTCCTAAGCCTATGTAAACTTTAATTGGTGGGAGATCCTTTTGGGGTTGGTCTAACTAGCAACCAATGGTCCTAGGTACAACACTACTGAAACTGTGTATCCTTTTCTGTTTTTCTTATTACTATTTTAAGGGGTTTTGTTTTGTTTTGTTTTGTTTTTGTTTTTTTTTGAGATGGAGTCTCACTCTGTCACCAGCCTGGAGTGCAGTGGCGAGATCTCTGCTCACTGCAACCTCCAACTCCCTGGTTCAAGCAATTCTCCTGCCTCAGCCACCCAAGTAGCCGGGATTACAGGTACATGCCACCACACCCAGCTAATTTTTGTATTTTTAGTAGAGACGGGGTTTCACCACGTTGGCCAGGATGGTCTTGGTCTCCTGACCTAGTGATTTGCCCACCTCAGCCTCCCAAAGTGCTGGGATTACAGGCATGAGCCACTGGGCCCAGCCTATTTTATGGTTGTTTTAAAAGAGTTGGGAGAAGGTGAAGGAGATGCTAACAGCCAACCCATCATCTTAGGCTGGATGTTGTACATTGGGAATTTTATACACAGAGCTGAAACTTCTGAGGAACTATTCAATATTTTTGGTTCTTCCCCTCATCTTGGTTAGTCAGCATGAAGGGCATCCTCTTCAGCTTGTATTTCATAACCTTTCTTTGGTGTTTTCACTCCCTCTCATTCCAGGTTTAGAAAAGTAATTACTATGAGAACACATGTGGAGAAGCACAAGGAGGAAAATGAGTTGACACGGTTCTGGTGTGCTACCCTGGGATGGTGTGTTTTCATTAGATGAAGAGGGAGCCACTGGCCATCCCTCTTCTCGGCATCCCTCACAGTTTGTTAGTTTGTTGGTGTTCATGGTTGCACTCCTGCTAACAGATGACACATTTCAGTGATTTCATTTTACCTTTGATGAAGTAGTACTCAAATGCAAATAAGCTATATTTTCAGCCATTACTGATAAAGTAATGAAATTCTGGCATTACCAAAGAATTTCATCAGGATGTTGTAGCCTCATGGTTACAATCTGCAATCCCAGATGCGTTTTAAGGGTAAGCTGCTGTGCACACAATTTAATTAAACGCTGAGTGGAAATGGTGGGAAACACAGCGTGACTGACCTGTGCACTGCTGGATAGCACTAGTCTGTGTGCCTTTGTTAAAGGCAGCTTTGATGGTTGGTATAGAAGGCCACTATGGGTAACAGAAAGAGAAAGGAGGTTGGCTGACTCCACCCCCAACTAGAGTGTGGTAATTGTCCACTCACTCAGCCTCTCTGAGACAAAAATGTTGTCCTTTGTTTAAAAAAGAAAAGCATAAAGTTGGGAGGGGGGGATTAACAGTCATATAAATCACCTCACAAGACTGTAAGGAAGACAATGGGATAACTGAAACTACAGCACTTTGTAACTAAATTATTATTCAAATGTGATGTTATACTCAATTTTTGTTGTCTTTAAATTAAAACAAATGAAAGTCTTCTATTTGTTAAGTCAAGATTATACATGTGCTGACTAATTTTCAACCTGGAAGTGTCTTTTCATAGTCCCTTCTAGTCTATGGTCAACAAAACTTTGTACACAAAACAGGGGAAGCAGTTAGGTCCTCTAAGCTCAGCCTCTCCCCCATAACAAATGTTTCTTCTCCACTTCACCCTCCTCCCCCTGCCTCTGACAAGACATTGCACCTGAGTTAAATAAAGTGTCACAATTCTACCCCACAGATCCTATGAATCACGAAAACTCATCCCCTCCATTCATAATATATGTTCTGACACACATGTTCCATTACTGGAATGAGATTAAAATATGCTGAGCAACTGAAACTTTCTCTTACACTTTATATGGCTTGAGGAACAGCAGATGTTATTTTTTAAAGGGTAATTCGTTTTTATAAAGGCTGATATTGGTACCACAGTGAAGATGCTGAGCTGCGCTGTTTTGTCCCTAAATGTTCACACAACATAGGTTTTATCTTATGTACCGTTTTATCCACTTTTAAGTTTTCAAGTTCTGAGGAAATTATTAAAGTTTTGCCACTTATTTTGTAATGGAAAACAAGGGAAAAGGGGGAAGTGAGAAACTGTGAAGCATATATTGTATGCTGAGAATTCGACCAGATATTTTCAAGCATATTATCATTTTTTATTTCTAAAAGCATTCAGTGGGTTGTCTTTATCGTATCTACCTTACAGATGAGAAAATAAAATCACTAATTAAAACACATGGAAAGATATTATTTTTAAAATCAGCTATGTTTCATTTTTATCCTTGTCCATGAATATATTCACATGATTTGTCAATCACTTAGTACTTTTTGGTTATAAATAATCTGGCAGGATTATGTCTCTATTTTGTACAGTTATATCTGTGTTATAATTCTGCATTTACATCAGGTCAAAGTTACATTTCACTATCTGGGGCAGGGGGCTCTGCAAAAGAAAAGTAGAAACCCTACAGCTGGAGCCTGAATTGTTTCTGACTAACAACAATAAAACTTCCCATGACTATAGCATCTAGTCATTAAGTGGCAGCACTGTTACAGAGTATGTATTGACTTTGTTTACAGGGGAAATAATGCACAGGTAAATCATCATCATCATCATTACGATTATCATCATATCACCATAATCTTATACCTTCCTTAACTAAATTTGATATTGAGGGCACAAAATATAAGTAAACAAAGTAAATGTTCAAAGCCAGCCACTATTAGGGGCTTCTATATATCAAGCAAACACACAGTTAAGTCAACCTTGTCCCCATGAGACACTTCCCACTAAGATAACAAATTGTTTCAAATGTGATTTTATCCAGATATATTTGTTTGTTTCTTTCCTCATCTAATTGCATTTTAATTCACATTAAAAATTTCAGGTATTACCTGGGGTGAGCAGGAGGTGGGAAGTGAGACGTGAGGTAGGGACTGTCACAGCTCCTACACTCCAGTGTGATTATATGTAATTTATAGGGAAGAGGAGTGAAGCTGGCTTTAAATAAACTCCCTCATTCCACTTCTGAGATTTATAGGCTTTAAACAGCCATGCTTTTTGTCAGTAGATCTGCCTTTTTGCTGAGGGGAATTTAAACATTTACCTGAGATCTAATTTCATTTAGAAAAAAAAGGGCTAACTACACAGATATAGAATCAGGTACCACAGTCTTTTTCAACTAGGCTGCTTTAAAGTAAAAAAATACAGAAACCCTCCCTCAGAATCTGTCTTTGTGTACATGTTCTATTTCAGCAGTATTTCCTTCAATCTTAGCAGGTTGAAGCAGAAAGAATATTCAGCCTACTAAAAATGTGTTCATAAAAAAAGAACTGCAATTATGGTTAAAATCTCAGAGTGTATATAACAATTTATAAAATGTATTCTCTTACAAAATGCATCTACACTCCCTAGCAGCTTTGAAAATGGACAAAGAATAAACAAAAAACAAATAGTAGATGTTAGACTTAAAATTAATCATATAAACAACCATATTAAAGGTAAGTAGTGCAAACACTCTTATTAAATGGCAATGATGGTCAGATTAGATGAGAAAGTAAGATCCAACTATATGTTGCCTACAAGAAACACACTTTAAATAAAAAAGGCTCAAATAGCCTAAGTGTAAACACATGGAAAAATATATATTATGCTAATAATAGTTTTTAAAAAAGCTGGATTGGCTATATTAAACAAAGTATATTTCAGTGCAAAAATTATTATAAAAGGTAAAGAAAATTATTTTGTAATGATTAAGATGTTCTTTCATCAGAGAACATAATCCTAAACATGCAAACACTTAATAACAGAGCTTCAAAATACACGAAATGAAATCTAGTAAAACTGAATGAAATAGATAAATCCACAATGACAGTAGGAGATTCTAGCACCCCGTCTCAGTAACTGATTGCACAAGAAGACAGAAAATAGGGATTCAGAAGTATTAATTATCACTATCAACCTATATGATTCATTGATATTTATGGAATGTTTCACCTAACAGAAGAACATGTATTCTTTTTCGAGTTCATTTGGAACTTTTACCAAAATAGACCATTAAACGAGTCATTAAACAAGTTTCAACAAAGTTAAAATCATTTAAGTCATGTAAAGTATATCTTTGTGATATACAATAGATTAAAATAAGAAATCAGCAATAGCAACTTCTCTGAAAAATCCAGGAATATTAGGAAACTAATAACACATACTTCATACTCAATGAATCAAAGAAGAAACTAAAAGGGAAATTAGCAAGTATTTCAAGCTGAATGAAAATGAAAATACAACTTATCAAAATCTATGGGCTGGAACTTCTGGCTTCTGCCCCAGGAAGTAGAAAGCTATAAGGAGCCTCATTTCCACCCTTACAACAAACTTCAAGTTCATGATCTTTTACAAATGCATTGGAGAGTTGAGCTTGCAGAACCACCACCTGGCCTAAAATCTAAAGAGATATGAACCTCGCAGGGAGAGATGTGAGCAGGAGCTCACCTTAGATAGATGAAACCAGAGGTCAGTAAGAAAAGTTCAGCTGGAATAGTTAACAAAATGGTGAAACCTACTGTGCAGGCTGGTGGGACAGTGAGAAATCCTTTATCACCCCAGAAGTTGGGGGAGTGTTCCCTCTTGCAGGCACTTGCTCCACAGGCCATTGGCAGAAACTCACATGCAGTCCACTGAGAACTCTATTTGGCCCTCACAGAAAATATCAGAAAGAGCCCTAAAGGTTAAATAACTCAGCCTATAACCTCCCTTATCTCCACATCTTGATTTTTGCATAGGTGTAGTTCCATTCATCTTGGTAACTAACTGCATAATTTAATAAAACCATCATTGTGCATTTTTTCATTCATCCAATAAAGTATCTGATGAGACATATAATCTCAAATTATCACTTGAGCAGGCAAAGAAGCCATTATCTTCACTTGGTGAGTAGAAACAATTAGGCAAAAGTGATGGGTGATGTGCAAATGGGGCATATGAGGAGAGGGCTGGAATGGAGTCAGGGCACCCTGAGGCTGACGGCACGCCTCTCATTGTGTTCCATTTCCCACAGATAGTGTGTTTACTTTCTTCAGGGAGTGATTAAACACGTGTATTTGTCTTTCTTATTAAATGACAATTGATGTCATGCAAGGAAACACGAGAGTGAAATGCTGAGAAGTGAATATTTTAGTGAATATCAAATTATCCATCTGTATGTGATTGATTGCTCAGTCAACCAAAATCCCCTAGTCCACCCCCTAAAAAAAAAGAGATGGTAATATTTACATTTTTCCTAAGGATATTATGTAGTTAAACTAATTATAGTTTATGAAATTGCTGTTAAAGCCTCATATGAAGAGAGACATGCATTTATTATTGCATGTAACAGGACACTATCAAAATATGATGCAAAAGGAATGTCCTCTAAACATTACAATAATGTTTATTTTAAGTTGCTATTAACAGAGGAATTTTTTTAGAGGCAAGCACACAACAGGGACAATGTGGGGCATCAGAATTCTGCTAACGTTTGTCCCACTGAATTCTTTGGAAAAAATATGACAACCTAAAAAAATCCAGTTGGCAAAAATTAATGTGAAAGAAAATAGGTGAATCTGCACCATGTCCTATAGAAGTTCTGGAATGCCTCCCTTAACACTGACTTTAATAACTAATGTAGGAGAGTTGGTTATAGGACCAATTGTTGTAATTTACCATTTTCATCATTGGTCATAGTCCTTTTGAATCAGTTTTGAAGCACAAATTAAACTGCCAGTCAGAATTTAAATGTTATTTAAGAAAAAAATTATTTTGAAATACAGCTTCACATGAATTGGCAAAGACAGTACAGAGAAGTGATGTGTACTCTTCACCTAGTTTCTACCAGTGGTTACATCTTATAAAATTACAGTACAATATCAAAACCAGGAAACGATGTATCTATCCAGTTGTATGACACGTTTAGGGTCCGTAACCCCCACCACAATCAAGAAAGAGAATGACTTCACTACCACGACAATCCTCCTCATTGGTACCCTTTACAGTTATACATAGCAACCACTAATTTGTTTTCTATCTCTATAATTTCCTCAATTCCTCAGGTTCCTAGATGGTCTGTCTTCCCTACATTTTTTCATTCTTATGTTTATTTTATATATAAAGTGCCTTTTAAAATGTACTTATCAGGAAGAATATATTAAAGACATGTACTTCATCTCTCCGGAGCAGAAGCTGGCAATATGATGGTGAATACAGTGTCCCTTTATTCTTGAGTGATTCCAGTTGCCTCTGGTAAACAGGAAGTTTCCTATTCAACCTCACCTTTCTTGCCAAGAACTGCATGACAGTTGAGCTGTCACATGTATCACTGGATTTTTTTGAACAGGAAAAAAGTGAAAGGACAACATTTTTAGAAGGAAGAACGCAAACTGTAAGAGAGTGATGCGAAAATCCTAGAGAGGAGTGGGACGGCATTCTTCATTAAGAGTAATTGGTAACATTAAGCAACAATTAAGTACATAAAGAAATCATGGCCTATCAGTAGCTTTAATTTTATTACTAAATAGCAACCAGTTCAACGAATATGCCACATTGTGGTTATCCATTCAGTGGCTGATGGACATTTGAGTTGTTTCCAGTTTTTGTCTACTGTATTAGTCCATTTTCACACTGCTGATGAAGACATATCTGAGACTGGGTAATTCATAAAGAAAAAAGGTTTAATGGATTCACATTTCCATGTGGCTGAGGAGGCCTCACAATCATGGCAGAAGGCGAAAAGCATATTTTACGTGGCAGCAAACAAGAGAGAATGACTATCAAGCAAAAGGGGGTCCCCCTTATAAAACCGTCAGACCTTGTGAGATTGATTCTCAACTACGAGAACAGTATGGGGGAAACCGCCCCCATGATTCAGTTATCTCCCACTGGGTCCCTCCCACAACACCTAGGAATTATGAGAGCTACAATTCAAGATGAGATCTGAGTGGGGACACAGCCAAACCATATCATCTACTATGAATAATGTTGCTATGAATATATATATATATATAAATTTTTTTTTACATTTTTTACATTTTTGCATTTACATTTTTTTTTTTTACATTTTACAACAGGCGGAGTCTCGCTCTGTTGCCCAGGCCAAGATTCAATGCAATCTCAGCTCACTGCAACCTCCACCTCCCAGGTTCAAGCGATTCTCCTGCCTCAGCTACCCGAGTAGCTAGGATTCCTGGTGTGCACCACCACGTCCAGCTAATTTTTGTATTTTTAGTGGACACGGGGTTTCGCCATGTTGGCCAGGCTGGTCTCAAACTCCTGACCTCAAGTAATCCACCCACCTCGCCCTCTCAAACTGGCGGCATTACAGGTGTGAGCCACTGTGCCCAGCCTCTATGAACATTTAAGTCTTAGAGTGGACATACATTTTTTGGAGTGGAATTGCTAGGTTATATGGTAAGTACATGCTTTTACTTTTTAAGAAACTGCCAAACTATTCTCCAAGGTGGTGGCACCATTTACATTCCCACCAACAAAGTATGACAATTAGGATTATTACAATTAGGACAATTCCAGTTTCTTCCAATCTATAAACATAGTGTGTCTCTCAATTTATTTGAGTCTTCTTTATTTTCTAATAGCTATGTTTTATAGTGTTCCATGAACAGGTCCTGCACACCTTTCGTAAGATCTACATTTAAGTATTTTATTTTTAATGCTATTGTGAATGAAATTCTTTTCTTAATTTGATAATCAGATTGTTACTACTACATAAAAAAGAATTGATTTTTGTATATTAACCTTGTATCCTGTTAACTTACTAAAATTCACTTATTAGTTGGTGTCTTTTAGATTTCTAGATTTCTTAGAAGATCTCCATATAGGAACATGTTATCCATACACAATAATGTATGGAGAGACAGTCCACTTTAAGCAGCTTGCACTCCTACATGTTTTGTTGGGTCTGCTAAGACTACAAAGGCCTAAAAGCTCTTTTATGGACCCTTTTTTCATGGTTGTTTATGCAGCTGGTAACCTTGAGAGGTGAGGTTACATTTTCTTCCACACAAAGAGCCTTCTCACTTACTACTTGCTATAACTGCAGTAGATTCCCCAAGCTCATTATTTCTCAGCTGCAATACAAGTCTGCTATGAGTGTAATATTCATACGTGCCCTATTGCATTGACCCTGTGGGCCTCAGGGGCAAAGGAGACAGATACAAATAAGCTGAAACTCATGTTGTTGTTTGTGGTGCCATGAGTAATATAGTTCACAGGTGTTGCCATTCTTTAATTTTAGCCATCCTAGAGAACATATTATCTCTCTATGATATTAACTTATATTTCTCTAATGGTTAATGATTTTAATACCAAATGTTGACCAGGATAAGAAGCAACTGGAATTGACACACATTGGCAATGGGAGTATAACATGTTCAAGGGCTTTTGAAAATAGTTTGACAGTTTCTTTAGAGTTTCACATACTGAAATTCCACTCCCAAAAGCGATGTAAAATAATGTTTGTAGAAATTTATTCATAATAGATCCATACTGGAAACAAGCCACAAGTGTCCATTTTAAAAAGAATGGATAAACAAACAGCACAATTGAAATCTACTCAGCAATAGAAGGAAATGTGCCACAAATCCACGCAACAACATGGATGGATCTCAGAAACCTTATGCTCCCTAAAGGGAGCTGGATACAAAAGCTTCTGTATGATTCTGGTACTGTATGACTTTTTGTAAGTTCAAAAGCACAAGCCAACCTAAATAATATGACAGAAAGTAGAACAGTGATAGGTGGGAGGTGCCTAGATAATCAATAAAAAGTATTAACAAATGGTAAGGGGGTGATGAACTGATCTGTAACTTGATCTGGGCTCTGGTAATACAGGCGTATACATCTGTAAATATTAACCAAATGGCACACTTTATGCATTTAATTGTATTTTAAGTTATGCCTCAATTTCAAAAATTTTAAAAATAATTTTTAAAGTGACCCAAGAGAATCAGACCAGCCAAATATTTCTTGTTCTCATGTCTAATCTGTATTAACATCCTTATGAATATTTTGTTTGTTTGAATGCCACTTCCTGTCATAGTACTAACAACCTATTTTAGATGAATTTTAAAGTTACATATGCTGCTGAAGCATACTCTTTGCGTAAGTAAGATTAATTTCTTTAAAATCTACATATTTCTTCAACCGAAACACATTTTGCTATAGATAACCTGATGCTATTTTGTTTGGCCTGTAGTCAGCTGAATCATTCAACATTTGTAACATATTCACATTGTCATATGCTACAAATCTGAGGAAAAAAAAGCATAAAAATAGAATGCCATTGGACTTACTAATTCTAAGAACTATTAAAAGGCACAGATAAAAAATTTAGTAAACAATATCCTCAGGCAAAATATTTTCTGTTGTATTAATGTTCTACTTTTCAGGTCCTTTGTTGCATATGTAAATTGGCACATCTAACACCTAGGCACATTGGGAAGCTTAGTGTAGCTTCTGACCTATAAACTAAGGAGGCGAATATGCAAGAATTTTGATTTTATGAAAAATGAGGACCAGGAGTGGTGGCTCACACCTGTAATCCCAGCACTTTGGAAGGCCAAGGTGGGCGAATCCCCTGAGGCCAGGAGTTGGAGACCAGCCTGGTAAACATGGTGAAACCCCATTTGTACCAGAAGATATAAAAATCAGCCGGGCCTGGTGGTGGGTGCTTGTAATCTCAGCTACTTGGGACAAGGGTAATCCCAGCTGTTCAGGGAAAGGGAAAGGGAGAAAGGGGAAAAGGGAAAAAGGGTGAAAGGGGGAAAGGAGAAAGAAGGGGAAAAGGGAGGGGAGGGGAGGGGAGAAGAAAAATGTAGGGGAATTTAATTCTTATTAGATTAGTTATCTTAAATATTTGCTACATTTACATTATTCTATCAGAGATTGATACTCTTTATATTTTTAAATTATTGCATACATTTTTATCAATTTCTTTCCTCTAGATTCCTCATACAAAACAATGAAATCTCACATCCTATTCTGTTTTGGGATATTGCACTGTGCAGAATAGTGGAAATTTCAAGTAGTTAAAGATCGCATACTATAACAAACCATTTATGGGTCATTTCCCCAATGTAAGAATTTTGCTTTTATTTATTAATATGATTTTAAACTATGGTGCCAAGTTTTCATTAGGACTTATACTTTCTAATGTGGGAAATAAATATCTTGATATTGAAAAGCCCTTACAAATATCCTGAGCTATTCATTTTGTATTAAAAATATTCAGTAATTATTTTCTCTGCCTCTTAATCACTGAACCTATTCAGTGTGCCAAGAAAGCATGATCACATGGAAGGACATCTGAATAGTGGAGAAATATGAGGAGTGGAGGGAAAAGATCCAATATGTTTCCATTTGCTCTGTGTTTGCAGTTTATCACATAGGTTTCTAAATTATCCTTGTCTATGAAATTCATTCCCATACACCAACGTTAATTTCCATTCAAACCCACGGGCTTGCTCCCTGATTGTACTCTGCACGTGAGAGTTCATGGTTTTCAATATATACAGCCCGTTTGAATCATTAACGCTTCTGGCTGAGAATGAGAGTTAACACAAGCACTTTCTAAAAACAGAAAAAGAGGGCAAAATACATATACGCTTTTGCCTAGCCAGTTTCAATTTGCTTCTAGCAAAATTATCCATTTCATCCCTACTCCTGCACTTCTATTTCACATTAACGAAGGAGAATATGTACTTATTAAAATGGAAAGTTGTCTCACATAAAATGCTACTGAGCCAATCCAATGAATGTTCGCAATTAAAGGTATAATAATCATAAAAAGAAGAAAACTTGATAAGCAAAAGAATAATCAAGTACTAGCGTGAGTTACTAAGTGTTTTATTTCTTAAGCTTTTGTCTAAATAACTTTGGATCACATAGTTTTCTTAAGGAGACACTTAAGAAGAATGACAAATGGAGCTCTACTTTTTCTTTATTTGCCTTTTCTTGTATCAAATGCCCCATCATATTTTAGAAATCTTGGTTTTGCAGAAAAATTTAGCAATGTGCAATTCCAGGAAATATCAATGTAAACTTAATGACAACAAAGTCAGGTTTAATAGTCAAATCCAAATTTCAAGAATTTCATATTTTATATAATGGCACCAATTTTCCTGTAGCTGAATATACACAATCTGACTATACCTATATGTCAGTATACATACATATATATACTGAAATATATATGTATGTATATACTGACATATATAGTCAGTATATGACTATGACTATAGTCAGTATATATGACTATGACTATATATAGTCAGTATACAGTTAGTATACACTAACATATATGTATATGTGTATATGTACTGACATATATGTGTGTTTATATGCACACACACTGACCATGTATGTACTGACATATGTGTGTGTGTGTATATATATATATATATATACACACACTCACACTGACCGTATATATGTATATATTCCTGCAACTGAATACACACACACACACACACACATACATTCAGCTTCAGGAAAACTGGTGCCATTACATAAAATATAAAGTTCTTGAAATTTGGATTTGACTATTAAGTACACACTGACTCTCTCTAAATATATATATATATATACACACACACACACACACACACATATAGTATATATTTAGTACATAGTACATACACACACACAGATATATACATACATGTGTATTTATGTACATTTATTGAACACATTAAAATCTATTAATTTGCAAAATTATATATACAAAATTAATCATACACTTGTGATGAACCTTTTCATTCTTTCATGTTTCTTTGCATGAAGAAGTAAGAGAGTTGTTTGGATATTAGAGTGGAAGAGTATACATACATAATCAGAAATTTCCAGAGGAAACATGAAGAGATGTCAACTATTTCTCCATTTTTTATTGATAATGCTTTCCAGAATCATGACTTTTGATTTTTGTTGTGCTATAATTACTCGCTCTTTACAATGTCCACTTACTTCCTTGAGGGATATGACAGGAAGATTGAGAAAAACTGTGGCTGGAAGGCCGGCAGTGCTGTAGAGACCCTGGGACCTGGGCCCTTCTTCTTTGGCTCCAGGTCATCCTGTGGTCTCCCCACCTTCCTCCTGCTTCCCTGGGCCCTCCTCACAACACTTCACAGACTTCTGTCCTCGTCTTGTTGCAACATCTTTTCTAAAATGTATTTTACAATAATTTCTCTACATTTCCTAAGCATCTGAAACGTAGTGTGACAATTTCATATATATTAATACTTTAAACTATACAATTCCTCATTCTGGTTTAGGAAAAATTACAAATCAGTTTAAAACTATTTTGGCAAGCAATCTAAATTAACTACAGAATATCTTCTTATTGCTTTCCTGTAATAGGAAAGAGGTGGCGATGAGATGGTACACAGGTAATCCTTTATGAAAGCTATGGAATTCAGGGCATTGCTAATTCTTACTAAAATATGTGGAAACTTAGCAACTTTGAGCATCATAAAAAATAAATAGGAAGGTACATGGAAGAAAAACCATGTTCTCTAAAACCCCATAAAGCTAAGTTTTCTAAATATAATGAAATGTAAAATTTTTTAAAAATCTGACTTTTTTCTGGTTTATTTTCCTTTTTAATTTTTAATTTTTGTGGGTATGTAGTAGTTGTATGTATTTATAGGGTACATGAGATATTTTGATACAGGCATGTAATACATAATAATCACATCATAGAGACTGGGGTATCTGACTTAAGCAGCTTTTGTACTGGACCACACTTAAAATAGTTTAAAGCTAAAATAATGGTATACAAAGAATTATCAGCACAGTCAACAATCATCATCATCATCATCATCATTTTCCGTTTTTTCAATCTGAACCAAAGGGAGATTGTTATATCTACTGACAAATACAAAAATCAAATGGGATTATGAGAATGGTCCTGTGTCAGCTAGTTATAAATAGAAAATACACATATATATCCTATTGGAAGGAAAATACACATATACACACATCACCCAAATGGTGATGTTTTACAACACGTTATGTATAAAATTAGGCATAAAACTGAACTTTAATTTTCAGTGAAGTATGAATAAAATAGTGAAGAGCTCTCCAGGTTGACAATTATAGGAACAATTCTAAAACTACTCATCAGCTGATTGGGACTCCTTATAAAATTAATTTAAATGCACCAAAAGCCATATTGCATTTATACTGTAGAAGGTAAAACTGGTACAGCCATTTCATAAAAAGATTTTTGATATTTTCCTGTTTTTTTAAATTGAATAATTGTGACACAGAGAATGAGAAATGCATTAATCTTATTCTTAGAGGTTTCTCTGTCGAGTTTAAGTTGCCAATGTCATATGCCTGGCAGTGTGGTGGCCAATTTAAATGGAACCATAGGGGATTCATTCAGTCCATGTAAACTACTTAAACATCACCTGACGGTCCCCTCCCCTGCACCGTGGGCTGCCATAACCTAATTTAACAAGCTCTTTCAGAGTTTGGACATTTCTTTGGTAACAACTGACATTACCTGGCATTATTTCATGTTTTATTCTGAATTATTCTACTACAGAAGCTTAAGTTTAATTCCATCTATACATATTATTTAATGTTTGCTTTGTCATGGCTCTGAGCTAGATGTTGTGAAACAATGTGCTTAACTGCCACTTTTACTCCCACTGTTGATACTACTAATTGCCGGGCGCGGTGGCTCACGCCTGTAATCCCAGCACTTTGGGAGGCCAAGGTGGCCGAGGCGGATCACGAGGTCAGGAGTTGAGCCTGGCCAACATGGTGAAACCCCGTCTCTACTAAAAATACAAAAAATTAGCCAGGCGTGGTGGCGCGCACCTGTAATCCCAGTTACTCAGAAGGCTGAGGCAGGAGAATAGCTTGAACCCAGGAAGCGGAGGTTGCAGTCAGCCGAGATCACGTCACTGCACTCCAGCCTGGGTGACAGGGTGAGGCTCCATCTCAAAAACCAAAACAAAACAAAACAAATTAAAAAAAAAGCTACTAATTATAATTTTTGCTTCAGCAGCACTCAGTAGATTTTAGCTACTTTGGATCAGATCATATACTAATTTTTTAATTATGGTAATACACATCACATGAAATTTACCATTTGAACTGTTTTATATGTAAAGTTCAGTAGCATTAAGTACATTCACATTGTGCAACCATCACTACCATCCATCTCTAGAGCTGTTTCACCTTCCCAAATGAAAACTCTGAACCCACTAACAATAACCTCCATTACCAGCCCCTGGCAACCACTATTCTATTTCTTGTCTCTATGAATTTCACTACTCTAGGTACCTCATATAAATGAATAACGTAGTAGTTGTCCTTTTGTGTCTAGCTTATTTTCCTTAGCATAATGTCTTGAAAGTTCATCTGTGTTACAGTACGGGCCAGAATTTTCTTCCTACACTGCACTAGGCTTCTCCGTTTGTCCATCAATGGAAATTTGGGTTGTTTCTCTTTTGGCTCTTGTGGATACACCTGCTCTGAACATTGATGTAACATAACCTAATTATTTTATGTGTATTAATTCATTTAATCTTCACAACCTATTTTACTCAAGTTAACTGTTTCATGATAGGTACTTTACTAATCCCATTTTATAACTGAGGAAACAAAAACTCAGGGAGATAAAGGAATTTGTCCAAAGTTACACAGCTAGTAAGGGGTAGAGCCTGGATGATTCCAAGCTTATCCCTAATCACTAAGGATAAGATAGCACCCTTCCTTCAAGGAAGTTAGAATTGCACAAAGTGTAAGAAAAGCATACAAACACCTAGTAAGCACACAGGCATGTGATAAATGCTGAGAGCTTTTTAAGGGAAAGTGCCAGACATATTTAGCATGTAGGCTTAGTAAAAATCTAGATTAGGTCTGGCAGCCAAAATCTAGATTATGACCTGCTTTATATAGCCAGAGAACTAAGAATGGTTTTACATTTGTAAAGCGTTGCATTTAAAAAAAAAAAACAAAGAGGGTGGGGGCTGGGTATGGTGGCTCAGGCCTGTAATCCCAACATTTTGGGACGCTGAGGTGGCTGGACTGCTTGAGCCCAGGAATTCAAGACCAGCCTGAGCAACATAATGAGATCCCATCTTTACAAAAAATATAAATGTTCGCTGGGTGTTATGACATGTGACTGTGGTCCCAGCTACTCGGGAGGCTGGGGTGGGAGGATCACCTGAGCCCACGGAGGTTGAGGCTACACTAAGCTGTGATCTTGCCACTGTACTCCAAACCTGGGCAACAGAGCAAGACTGTGTTTCAGAAAAAGAAAGAGAAAGAGAGAAGAGGGGAAAAGAAAAAAAGAGGGAAGGAAAAAAGCAAGGAAGGAAGGAAGGAGAAGGAGGAGGAAGGGAGGGAGGGAGGGAGGGAGGGAAGACAGAGAAAGAAAAAAGAAAAAAAAGAAATGTAACAGAGACCTTACATGGTCCACAATACCAAAATCATTTTCCATCTGTCTCTTTACAGCAGAAGTTTGCTAACTCCCATGTTTAACTTTTATTTTTAATTGATGAATAATAATTGTACATTTTTATGAGGTGCAATGTGATGTTTGGATACATGCATACACTGTAAAATGATCGAATCAGGCTAATCAACATATCAGTCACCTCAAATATGTATCATTCTTTTAGCGGTGAGAATAGTTAAAATTCTCTCATATATTTCAAAACAGACAACACTTATTAACTCTATTCACTATGCTGTGCAAAAGAACAACAGAAATTATTATTCCTATCTACCCAAAACTATGTACCTACTGACCAACATCTCCCCCTTCCCTATCCACCCTCTCCTCTAGCGTCTGGTAACCACCATTCTACTCTCTACTTCTGTGAGCACTGTCTTTAAATTCCACATGTAAGTGAGACTATATGGTATTTGTCTCTCTGTGCCTGGTTTATTTCACTTAACATAATGTCCTCCAGGTTCATCCATGTTATCACAAGTGTCAGAGTTCCCTGCATCACGGGTTTTAACTCACACCTTTGATGTACTTGGCTCTAGTAAGTACAAGCGTGGGGAAAATGTAAAACTCTTTTGGTGCAAGCATTCTGCATCATGTTTCAGACTTTCAAAGAAAATTTTAAGTCATCCTCAACAACATCTCATTAATTTGAGGCTAGAGAAGATACTGACTATAACCCTGACAAAAGCCACTTGAGCAAATCCGTCAGAATCATTCTGCAGGTATAAATTTTTAAATCACAAACTCATGAGGGAAAATGTAACTTCATTTCTCCATAACCCAGAAAGCTTTCTAGTAGGAGCTGGAATTCTGGCTGATACAGAGACTGGAAGTAGTCACAACAGGTGTCTCTGTCCAGTTAAGGGATAAGCCTGTCAGTTCGTGTCTGTATTGGTCGCAGACCCTTGAAAATTCCTTCAGGGGTTCTTTTACTTCCCCTTCATCCCCAGAGTTAACTCTGGTCTCTTCTGGCTTTGCTAATTGCCTTGGTAAAGCGGGGAGGGGAGTGTGTTCAAGCCCCAAGTAGAAGTCAGCACTGCACTGTCCTCAGGGATGGCGACCTGCTGCCGACGGAGCCAAGTCCTCCCATCCCAGGCTGGGACAGTGCTCTCCACAACGTTTTGATGAACCTTTCTCCTCCCTCTGCCAGACCTCAGGCAGGAACATGGTCTTGCTCACCTGCCTTTGGTACCTCAGGGTGTCCTTGGATAACTGGGGCTGTCCTCACCGGCCACCAGAGCTGCCACAGGGCATCCAGTCCTGTCACTGAATGTGCCGCAGCACAATGAGGATGCCGTGCAGGCTGCTCTTGGAGACTGGCGTTCTCCTTTCCACTACACACTTGAGAGCGCCCACTCAGATCCCTGAGCTTCAGTGAAGACTTCTATTAAGCCACCACCGGCAAGGCTCTGCTTGAGAGCAGAGCTTCAGGGCAGTCCCCACCTCTCTATGCATCCTATCGTGCAGTCCTGCTGAGGGTTCCTAGTCTGCGAGATAGCAGAAAAATTAAAACACCTTTAGCCTACTCAATTCCCTTTCAAACTTTTTCTACCTCAGACCAAAAGATGCTTTTGGACTTCAGAAGTGAAGATTAATGTCTTGGTTCACAGTCTCTGCAATGATCCCCTTTTCTCTACACAGAAGACTCAAGACAATCTGAGTTAGGAGCAAAGACGGAGGTCTGAGGGCACTGGCGAAAAATTTCAGTGAGCTTGGAAGCAGGGTCATTTATGTTAATTGTACATGTCATCCCACACAGAAATGGCCTTTATAGGAATTATCAGTGTCGTGAAGAAAGTTTTTATTTCCATTTTTAAACCTCATATCCCCCCATCAAAAGCTCCCATCATGAGTTTCTGGCTGACTTACGCCAGGACTCACAGAATGATTCATCCCTACATGAAAAAGTATTTTCACCAGCCTCAAAGGTTTTCAGGAATTACTAGATCAAAGAATTGTTAAAGAAACTTTCCAAAAGCTCATTCTACTTGCCCCTCCAAGCAAAATACTAACTTTGTGATGGATTTTAGACATTCCTAGTCCGTAACAGTGGCATGAAACTTTTTTTTTTTTTAATAGAGACAGGGTTTTGATGTTGCCCAGGCTGGTCTCCAACTCCTGGGCTCAAGGTGATCCAACCGCCTCAGCCTCCCAAAGTGCTGGGATTACAGGCGTGAACCAACGTGCCCGGTCCCGCACAGAAGTTTTTGATGTTAGGTGTGCCACCTTCAACGATGGCTGTGTGGATCCAATATCTGCTTCTCTTTCATTCATAAAATTTACCAAGTTCACATTGGAAAACATTATTCTATGGTTATTCCAGAAAATATTAGATTATCACCGTTTTGTTTGAAAACTGACGGAAAATATGACATCATGTTCCCATCTGGCAGGAGTGCACAGCAGGCATGGAAAATGGGGATGAGTGCGTCCAAGTTAGTTCCAATTTTCAAACATTCGTCCCGCACCGCCTGTTCAGTTGCCTGGGTAAAACTGCCCCACGCAGAGAAGCTTTTACCCCAGGTTAATAAAGATGCTTTTTATATTTGTATTTGAGTTGTGGTCACTAGCAATGTTTTCTAGTCCAGATTGTGAAATTTGTATTTGTTACTATCTTTGTTTTTATACCTCAAAGAACCATTTAGAGTCACTGATTCATTTCCATAAAGCAGGAACTTTCCAAAATTTAGTAAGAATAGCTAAGTACAAATCTAAAAAAAAAATTACATACTTCAAAAACTAAAAATGCATTCACTGAGA